>NC_000004.12:87254714-87406229 GCF_000001405.40 Homo sapiens
AGTGGGGGCAAGAGTATATGAGTATATATTTGGATTTGCATGGACAATGTCTCTTCTCAATGGGGCTCACCCTGGATTCCCTGTTTAATATTGCACCCATTCATCTTGCACTGCCAGGCCCTCTTCCCTGTTTTACTTGGTTTTCCAAAGTACGTAGCACCTTCTAGTATACTACATAACTTACATACTTTGTTGCCTTTCTTTCTCCTGGTAGAATATAAACTCTATAAGAACAAGGATCTTTGTCTCTTTTGTTCATGGACTGTCCAAGAATCTAGGAAGGACATTGCCTGACACATAATAGGCATTCAACAAATATCTGTTGAATAACAAATAAATGAGTGGCAGGATTCAAGGTGACAGAATTAAAGGAGGGGCTGTCCCTTTATGCCTCATACATTTTTTAATTACTAAAGTTTTTTAACAGTTATGTTTTATTTTTGTTATTAAAATGATGTATAACAGAATTACAAATTATGCATTTGGTTTTGAAAAGGTGTTCATAAAGATACAGTGTCACTGGTCATTTGAGTTTTGAAAACCCTACTTTTTACTTCATAGTAAAATGAAGGATGTGTTCAATATGAGTCATAGCTATCATTAAAAACCTTCCCAGGGCCAAATATGTCTCACTACAGAAGTGTAGAACACACGTTTTGGTAGTGTAAAAGAAATTTTAGTTAAATTCTAAATGGCTTTATCCTGTATAAATGTCTATTGATTTAGGTCTTTCTCTCTTATTAGACCATTAGCTCCTTGAGTACAGGGGTTGAATCTTACTTAATTTTAGATTCCTCTAGGCAAGGCTCAAATCTCGTCTCTTTAATAAAAATTTTCTACCTTCCTAAAGTAATCTTTCATTTTCTATGCATGTGCAGTAAATAAAGAGTGTAAATTTTCCTGAATATGAAACTGACCCAATAGTCCCATAGACTGTTCTTTTTGATAAACATAGAAATTGACCCTTCTGATCTTAAAGCTTGAAACTTATATTTGTTTGATCTGAGTTCCTTCATCAAGAAAGGATCTTCAGGCCTCTCAAGAAAGTATCAAAGACAGGCACTCACCAGATCACCACACCAGATGCTTCCTTGCCACTCCCTAGTTCTTATTTTTTTACACATTGTTACATCTCTTCCCTGCTGTACATTTCTTCCCCGCTATACATTTCTTCTCCTAGTTCTAGTCAGTCAAGGAAATGGATTTGAGACTGAGAGCCCATCTTCTCAGCTGCAGCACCCTATTAAAGCCTTCTTCCTCCTTGGCAATACATGTCTCAGTGATTGGTTTTCTGTTTAGCAAGCAGCAGGACCTAGACTGAACCTCTGGTGTTTTGGTAACAAATAGTTTAGGTTGCAAGTTCTTAGATCATTTTTCTTCTTATACAATTCTCAAAATGTCCTAGTATTTTCAATTTCATTATTTAAGCTATAACTTCTAAACTTCTCTGTAGTTCTGAGAAGGGGCACAAACATACGTTATCAGTTTTAAAAACAGTAAACAGCCTAGCATCTTAGACAATAATCTTTGAAGTCAGGTATCTGTGATTCTAACTCTGTCCTTTACTAAGGGCATCGCCTTGGACAACCTCCCTGAGAATTTTATTTTATTTTATTTTATTTTTTCTTTTTTTGAGATGGAGTCATGCTCTCATCGCCCAGGCTGGAGTGCAATGGCACGATCTCAGCTCACTGCAACCTCTGTCACCTGGGTTCAAGCTATTCTCCTGCCTCAGCCTCCCAAGTAGCTGGGATTATAGGCGCCTGCCACTACGCCCGGCTAATTTTTGTATTTTTAGTAGAGAAGAGATTTTGCCATGTTTGCCAGGCTCATCTTGAATGCCTGAGAATATCTGTTTTCTTTTCTTTTTTCTTTCTTGTTTTTTTTTTTTTTTTTTTTTTTTTTTTTTTTGAGACAGAGTCTCACTCTGTTGCCCAGGCTGGAGTGCAGTGGCGCAGTCTGGGCTCACTGCAAGCTCTGCCTCCCAGGTTCATGCCATTCTCCTGCCTCAGCCTCCCAAGTAGCTGGGACTTCAGATGCCGGCTAATTTTTTGTATTTTCAGTAGAGACGGGGTTTCACCGTGTTAGCCAGGATGGTCTCCATCTCCTGACCTCGTGATCTGCCTGCCTCAGCCTCCCAAAGTGCTGGGATTACAGACATGAGCCACCGTGCCTGGCCCTGTTTTCTTTTCTTTAAAACTAGGGATTGCAAAACCTAATTTGAAGCAAAACTGTGAGAACTAAATGAAATAATATACACAAATCACCAACTATAGTGTCTGACACATAGAAGATGCTTAACAACTAGCATGTTTTACTATTTATCAAGAAACAGTAATAGAAATATCAAAGTTTACTGTTATTAGTCATTCGGTTTTTATTTCTTTGTGTTTTTATTGAACTTTTTTGTATCTGCATTTTTTTTCTCTTGGAGACCAAAATGTAAGCTGCTCAGGGCAATTTCCATTTTTGTGTTTTGTTTATTGTGCCCGAAACAGTGATGGGTATAATAAATGAGTATTGATTGAATTAAGCTAAATAAGATGTTTGGCCTCTGAGTTTAGGCATCAGGGACTAATATTGAATCTCTAACATTGTTCATTGCCTATGGAACATCAATGGGTGTGTGGTTTTTCACCAGTGTTATTAAACATATTTACTGAGTACCCAATATGTGGCAAGCCCTGTGCTTGGTACAAGAGGGTAGTGCAAGTCGGAAAGGATAGAATTTTCAAAAACTGGTTTAACACTATGAGATTAATTTGTATATATATATATATATATTCTGTTATTTTTGTTAATGTACATAGCAGCACTTTAATCCATTTGCTGCAGTTCTGTCATGTTTTGTATTAAGACCAATTTACTTGACATTGTATGTGCTTGGCATTAAAAGCAGGATAAGAATTCTATTTTCAAAAGGGGCATAGTTAACTGTTGGACTCTCTGCCAAAGTAATTTTCCCTCCCTTCTTTTAACCTCCCAAGGAGACAATTGGTTACATTCTAAGCAGATGCTTGCTCAGAGAGTGGGCAGCAAGCCGTGGGCAGCCCGCTCGTTTAATTTTAAGCAAGATCTTTGTGTTTTTTATTATATTAATTAGTGTATTGGCAAGGTTGAATGGGATTTTTAAAGCAGCAGGGGTTTTGCTGATCCCTTAATTTGCAGTTTGTGATGGCTCTTTTGTTTTTGTTTTTGTTTAATTTTTTTTTTCACTCATTAAACACTCGAATCTAGCATTAGCTGTGACTCCCAGTAGTTCTGGATCTTTAGGGAGTAATGTATAAAGACAGATGGTGGGTATGATGAGGACAGCAAAATGCACTTTCTCTTTGGTACTACCTTGAAAGTGGGCCACTGCCCTATTTTTTGCTTGTAGACAGGCATTTAACTATAGTTAATAAGCCCGGAGAGAGAAGATGCTACACTGTAGATAATTTTAGTGATTTTTAAAAAAACTCTTCAACGTTTTATTCAACCTTTAGATTATGCAAATAAAAAACACCTGTTTTAGACATCTTGGCCTGGTGAAGAGAAGACTGGAAGAAATGCATTGGGAAAGGATTTATTTGTGTAATTGAATGTTGAGGGAGATTTTCCTATTGTCTATGAGTTAACTACTTGTCTTCTCACCACTGTTGAGGGCAAAGACATTCCATATGTTACCCCATCTAATCCTTACCATAACTATCTTAGTTAATAAATCTCAGTCCAGTCCAGTTTAATGCTTTATTCTCAAATTCAACATAAATCTTATTTCTTTCTCTACTCCCAGTGCAGGCTTGACCCATGGCTTTGAGGAGAAAACTACATAGGCAGCTCTTGTAGCCAGCACTTATCACAGAACAGTTGTATAAAGGAAATTGTCTATAACTTAAATATAAATTTTGTTAAGTATTCAGAAAGTTTAATACTGTAGGACTTGGAGTTGGTGGTGTGGTGTGGTGGGGTTGGAAAATGCAAAGGAGTTCTTACCAAGGAAAATTTGAGAATTAAGGAGTGATGAATTAGTGAATAGATGCTGCTATGGTATGAATGTGTCCCCCAAAGTTCATGTGTTGGAAACTTAGTTTCCAGTGCAACAGTGTTGAAAGAGAAGATCTTTAAGAGGATTAATGCTGTTATCACAGGAATGAGTTAGTCATCATGGGAGTAGGTTCTTGATAAAATAATGAGTTCATCTCCCTCCGCCCTCACCCTCTGTCTATCTCTCTCTCTTTCCCTGGCCCTTCTGCCTTCCACCATGGGATGATGGAGCAAGAAGGCCCTCACCAGATGCAGCCCCTCAATCTTGGACTTCCCGGACTCCAGAACTGTAAGAAATAGATCTGTTTCTTATAAACTTACCCAATCTGTGGTATTCTGTAATAGCAACACAAAACCAACTAAGCCTTATGGTAACTGATTAGCCTTATGGTTAATTTGGCAATATAGTAAAATATCCCATTTTCAAACAGGTTTCTTACATATGTATATGTTTTATTTTGCTTTTTTGAGACAGGGTCTTGCTATGTTGCCCATGCTGGAGTGTAATGGCTAGTCACAGGTGCAATCATAGGTCACTGTAGCTTCCAACTCCTAGACTGAAACAATCCTCCTGCCTCAGTCTCCTGAGTAGCTGGGACTATACGCATGCAGTGGCTCCATATGTTTTGATAAATTCTCGATGGAACAGGTAAAGTTCATGTAAAAAGATCATAATCAAACAAGCTGTCCCAAAATGAATGGAACTTTTACTTTTCAAAAGTTACTACTCCATTTTTTGATCACTTTGTAACTGCTGAGGGGGGAATAAGATAAAATAGGCAACCCTATCTTCCTCCCTCCACCATGAGACCATATGAGTTGCTTGGGAACCGCTGGGATTCTAAAAAAAATAAAATCTATGCCTCAAGCATTCTCTTCTCTTTTCTTTTCTTTTTTTTTCCTTTTCTTTTTTCCTTCCTTCCTTCCTTCCTTCTTTCCTTCCTCCCTCCCTCCCTTCCTTTCTTTCTTTTCTTTCTTTCTTTTTTTTTTTTTTTTGACAGAGTCTCACTCTATCGCCCAGGCTGGAGTGCAGTGGCATGATCTTGGCTCAGTACAGCCTCCACCTCCTGAGTTAAAGTGATTCTCCTTGCCTCAGTCTCCCAGGTAGCTGGGATTACAGGCGCCCACCATCATGCCCAGCTAATTTTTCTATTTTTAGTAGAGATGGGGTTTCACCATGTTGGCCAAGCTGGTCTCAAACTCCTGACCTCAAGTG
This sequence comes from Homo sapiens, assembly GCF_000001405.40. NCBI lineage: Eukaryota > Metazoa > Chordata > Mammalia > Primates > Hominidae > Homo > Homo sapiens. The sequence continues at coordinate 87,259,957 of NC_000004.12, forward strand.
ATCCGCCTGCCTTGGCCTCCCAAAATGCTAGGATTATAGGTGTGAGCCACTGCACCTGGCCAAGAATTCTTTAGGAAAAGAAAAATACGTATATGGAGAGTCATTATTTAAGTCATTTACTATAAAACAGACAATTTATAAATGAACACGTACAATGATGCTCACATTCTGAGAGTTAATCTGTCTTGAAAAAGCATCAGTCATTGTATCTAAAATTAATTTTTATATACACTGTCTCTTTTTGCTTTATTTTTACATATTTTTTTCAAAGGAAATGATGCTTGAAAGAGTACGTGGCATAATTTTTGAAATGAAGTGTTCTCTTCATTCACTGATAATGAGAAATGGTAGAGGAAAACAGAAATAATAAGAAATGTGTGGTCCTGGAAACTATGACTGGGACTGTTGACACGTTTTAGGATCTAAAATGTGTAATTATTTTGGAAAGGGCAGCAGCATAAGCATTTTGAAAAAGACTAGCATAAAATATTTGTAAAGTGTCTGAATGTTTTTTTCTGAGAAATGGTCTGCAGTAGCTACAAAATGTTAGTGACAATTGATACCTTAGAGGGGATGTTTGCATTATAGTTTGATTGTTAAACTTCCATTTAAATTTTTATTATGTAGGATTTATTCTAGTTGGGCACCCATGAATGACTTGTTGATGATAAAAGGTTAGTCATGAGGTATCCATGTGGCTTATCATCTTCCAGAGCAAGAATTTTCTCTGTAAGACAGCATGTGGCTTCTGCTGTTCCCCAGACTCTTCCTTTGAATATCCTTGTAAGGAAATAACTCATCTTGGAAAATTATATAGAACAGTATAGAACTGTGGACAAAAGAATTATCTTTGGAATAAAATCAACCCGGCCTTGAGTCCAGGCTCCACACCTTATTGGCTGTGACACTTTTAACGAGTTACTTAATCTCTTTTAACCTCGATTTTCTTTTCCTTTCTTTTTTCTTTCTTTTTTTTTTGGGTGGTGGGGGACCGAGTTTCACTTTTGTGGCCCAGGCTGGAGTGCAGTGGCGCAATCTTGACTCACCGCAACCTCCGCCTGCCAGGTTCAAGCGATTTTCCTGCTTCAGCCACCCTAGTAGCTGGGATTACAGGCATGCACCACCACGCCTGGCTAATTTTGTATTTTTAGTAGAGACAGGGTTTCTCCATGTTGGTCAGGCTGGTCTTGAACTCCTGATCTCAGGTGATCTGCCCGCCTTGGCCTCCCAAAGTGCTGGGATTATAGGTGTGAGCCACTGCACTGGGCCTAACCTAGGTTTTCTAAATAAATGTAATAAATAAATAAATAAATAAAGAAGGAAGCTGGGCATAGTGGCTCATCCCAGAGTTTCTGTAATCCCAGAAACTCAGGAGGATCAGGCCCAAGGATCACTTGAGCTGATATTTATAAAATGTTTAGAACAGTGCCTGGCAGATAGTAAAACTATATATGTTATTTGTTCAATAAATAACAGTTTTTTGATTACTATACCTTAAAACAAGTCTATATTTACATTTTTAGGGTAACTTAGTATGAAGTGAGTCTCAGAAGAAATACCTGTGACATATATTCATACGGGGCCCAATTTTGCATTTTCATTGTTTCTCGTACTTCTTGTTCTTTTTCTCCAAATGGATCTTTATTTTGATCCATTTAGTTGCAGGCAGGGGTGGAGGAGCTAAGATTTAGTCATTTATCTTTACAAGGCTTTTTTTTTGTATGTGAACTTGGTTTATTAGACACATAATCTTGCGTTCAGCCCTAATGTCTTTACCAGCATTTTCCAACTGGAACATAAGGGCATAGGAAAGTAACAGAAGAATTAATCTTTTTTTGTGTGTGTTTTTTTATTTCTTCAGCTCAGATGATCACAGGGACTGATACAAAGAAAATATGTTGGTTCCAAGACTTGTAGTGAGCCCCACCTTCAAATGTACTGGCATGCTTTTAAAATTGGAAACTTTTCCTTTTAGATGACACTGTGACAGATTTTACTTTGAAGCAGACAGCTTTCATTCTTGATGAAGATCCACTTGTTCAATATGCACCTTTATTATGGGCTCTGAAGTAGTATTTAGGGAAAAGCATGTCTCTAGTTTTCCTTCTGGGAGGAGTTTACTAGATGCCGAAGCAGTTTAATCCTTTAAAACAAAACAAAACATGCAATTAGCTCTAATTAAAAAATACTTTTACTATTTAAAACTCAGTTTGTTTTTCTAACATCTAATTCTTTGTTTTCTAATTACAGTTACTATACTTATAATAATTTCAAATCTAGTAACTGTAAAAAATAATCTCACTGACTGACAAGGAATTTCTCAAACAGGCAGTCATTACTTTGTGCATTATATGGGACCATAAAAATAACTACATGGCCAGGTGTGGTGGCTCACATCTATAATCCCAGCACTTTGGGAGGCTGAGGTGGGCAGATCATTTGAGATCAGGAGTTTGAGACCAGCCTGAGCAACATGGTGAAACCCCGTCTCTACTAAAAAATGCAAAAAAATTAGCCAAGCATGGTGGCGCATGCCTGTAGTCCCAGCTACTCAGGTGGCTGAGGCAAGAGAATTGCTTGAACCTGGGAGGCAGAGGTTGCAGTGAGCCGAGATGGAGTCACTGCACTCCAGCCTGGACAACAGAGCAAAACTCCATCTCAAATAATAATAATAATAATAATAATAATAATAATAATAATAATAATAATAATAACAACAACAACTATGCAGGCTGAAACTATGAAAAGCAATCTTAATAAACAAAGATAAAAATTACAATTGTTCTGTGATCTTTTGTCAAAACATTAAAAACAAGCTGAGCACGGTGGTGAAACCAGCCCAATTGTTCCATAGACAGTTGATTGACCCTTCTGCTGTTAAAGCTTGAAACTTGTATTTGTTGTATATGAATTCCTTCCTCAGGAAACAACCTTCAGGTTGCTCAACAAAGGTATCAGAGAACTGAAACTCACCAGATCACCTTACCAGATGCCTCCTTGCCCCTCCCTAGGTCTTGTTTTCTTACACATTGTTACATTTCTTCCCTGCTGTATAAACTCCTAGTTTTAATTAGTCAGGGAGATGGATTTGAGATTGAGCTCCCATCTCCTCAGCTGCAGCACCTGATTAAAGCCTTCTTCCTTGGCAATACTTGTTGTCTCAGTGATTGGCTTTCGGTGCAGTGAGCAGCAGGACTTAGACCAAACCCCTGGTGTTTCAGTAACAGTGGCTCACACTTATAATCCTAGCACTTTGGGAGCTGAGGTGGGAAGATCACTTGAACCCAGGAGTTTGAGACCAGCCTGGGCAGCATAATGAGAGCTCATCTCTACAAAAATAAAAAATTAGCCAGGTGTGGAGGCACATGCCTGTATGTAGTTCCAGCTACTTAGGAGGCTGAGGTGGGAGGAACACCTTGAGCTTAGGAGGTTGAGGCTGCAGTGAGCTGTGATGGTGCCACTGCAATCCAGCCTGGGCAACAGAGAGAGACCTTGTCTTAAAAGAAAAAAACCCACAAGACTGTCTTATTGTTAGTTATGAATGTATAGGAAATTTAAAAATAGTAAAACTGGTATTTATTTAGTACACTGTAATTTGAAACATTAGATACCTTGAGAATTAAAATGCTTTAATTATAAAATAAACTTATTACAAGTAGTTTAAACAGTGTTTGCCTTCTTCTCGTTACATAATTTATGATATGGAGAGTATGGAGAGAGTAACTTTTCTTTTTCTTTTTCTTTCTTTTTTCTTTTTAGAGACAATGTCTAGCTCTGTCACCCAGGTTGATGTGCAGTAGCTCGATCATAGCTCACTGCAGCCTTGAACTCCTGGGCTCAAGCAATCCTCCTGCCTCAGCCTTCCAAGTAGCTGGAACTACAAGTGTGCTACCATGCTCAGCTAATTAAAAAAAATTTTTTTTTTTTGTAGGGACAAGGTCTTACTTTATTGCTCATGCTGTTCTTGAACTCCTGGCTTCAAGCAATCCTCCTGCCTCTGCCTCCTGATACTGTTAGAATTACAGGAGTGAGCCACTGCACCTGGCCAAGGGAGCATCTTTTCGATGCCTTGGCTAGTTCTCATACTCTTCTAAGCTTTGATCAACTTACAACATTTTCTCTTTTGTGCTTCCAATGTTGTGAGACATCTCTGAGAGCTGCTTTACTGTAAAGATTTTTGCCATTGTAATTTCCCCTGGGACATCTTCATCCTGTTCATTATAACTACTTCCCTCACTTATGCTGAAAGTTTGCCTTATAGTTGTCAAAGCTTTTAATAGTACTGACGATTTTTGAAAGTGATTTCTTTAGGATAACTGAAATCTATCACCCTGCAGTTTCAATTCATCAGACTTAGTTTTACTTAGGCATAAATAAAACAATTGAAACCTCTCTTCCACATGGATGCTCTTCAAATACTTGAAGACAGCAGTCGGCAATCGTGTGTTGCATGAGTCCTTACTTCTTCATACTGAACATATCTGATTCTGACATGTAGCTTTCTCCCAAGATGCTTGTCATTTTCACTTCACCAACAAATTCCTCCCCATTGGTCAGAATTTACCACACAGTAGCAATTTCCCTGGTCACTTCCTCTACATAATAAAACTTAAAACTGTCAGGCAAGTCAGGAAATTTTCAGAGCACTGCTTTTTAGCTGGTTGAAGTATAGCAATTTTATCATTTGCTTATGAAGGCAGCTTCCAATTTCCCCCTTCTATCTGACCAGCACATAGCAGGGACCCTTTGGAAATGATCCTGAAACGATTTCAAAAATAGAAAAAAATTAGAAGAGGCTAGAATTCAAATAATTATACTTGCCAGGCACATATTGGGACTATTCTAGAATATTTAGTACCCTGTATTCTTGTTTGAGGTATACTTCTTAGATTTTTATCTTTTCAGGTGTTGGAACTTTGGAGAAAGATCTGTTATGCCTTGCATATTGCTTATGTTTATTTAATGTTGCTACTTGGGCCTCTAAGGCCATACATATTTGGATAAACATCTGGATGTTCTCTCAGTGCATCTTGGGTCTAGGAGCAAGGGTATGGAGTCCCCACCTAAGGCAATAGGAGCTGCTTCTGCCAGAGAGCTGTGCAAAGTAAGCAATGTCCTGGTTCCAGGACCAAGGGCCAGAGCAGAGACTAGAAGTAGAGACCACAGTTTGCCAAATATATATAGAGTTAAGAATGAAATTTGGGAAGATGAGGGATTTCTTATGCAAATGCCTTGTGTACCAAAACACCACATAGAATTTCAGACATTTATTGGTCAGAAAGACATTAATTCATAGATGGAGAATTAGTCATTAGGGTCCAGGGTGTACTTGGGGGAGAAATTGATTCCTGCATTTGCTTTGAAGTCTAAAATGATACAGCTTTTCACCATAGGGGAAGAGTGATGGGCAGTGGGAGGCCCTCGAACTTGACTTTTAACAGTAATCTTTTTTCTTAAATTGCTGTGAGAGCAACATCCTCCAGCTGGCCTTATTTTCCAAATTGTGTTCCTTGCTACCTTGTTGCTTTTCTGATGGCAAAAGTCCTTTGAATATTAACACAAATGTGGAGGTCTTTTCAAATTCCCATTTGGGCACAGCCAAAACGTCGGCATATGAGTTGTGGCAATTTACTTTTGAGCTCTGGTAAGCATTTTGCTACCAAGACAAATACATTGGTGCCTTTGAGGCCATGCCAATTCCTAACGCCAGACCCTGCACAATTTATATTAATTGCCATCCTTTCTCTATGTCAGTGATGTGTTCTACTCACAACCCCAAATCCTCTTCTCTCATCCTCGCTTTTTTCAAATGTGTCTCTAGTTACTGGGGATATGCAGCCTACACAAGGGTTCCCAATACCTGCATGATCAACAGCCCCACAGAGGCCATTTAGTCATTACAGAACCATTTTTAGATAGGTAAAGCAGGATAAGGGCTGGGCTGAAGATCGATGTCCAGCCTGCTGAATCATCAGGAGTTTCTTGAATTTTTGCATTCTGGGAAGCATCTTCACCATCTAACACTGAGTACGATTGGCTCTCTTTAGGAAATGCTCTCTCTTAAACTGTGTCTCCCTTAACCCCACCTCTCCATTCCCAGATCTATAATCGCTGTCTCAATAGTTTCCCTAATTTCCCTGTGACATTGATGTTGAATTCCATAGGCCCTCACAGATCATGCTGTGCTAGTCTATTCCCCTTCCTTCACCAGGAGTCAGACTGCTTTTGTAGCAGAGGAGGAAAAATAGCAACAGTGATTACATAGCATTAAATTAATAGAGCGAGGGGCCTACCTGGTTCTAGAATGATAGTTACATCTGAGATCCAATAAGATCGAATTTACTTACTAAACTTTTCCATCTTAGTTCAAAGCAACCTAGATAAGTTTAGAAACAAAATCACAAAACAAAATACTTGTTACCTATGTGTCATTTGTACACCAGGTCCCTCAAATAATTGGCTAAACTTGGCTCAAAACCCTGAAACCGGCCAGGTGCAGTGGCCCATGCCTGTAATCCCAGCACTTTGGGAGGCCAAGGTGGGTGGATCACCTGAGGTCATGAGTTGGAGACTAGCCTGGCCAACATGGTGAAACTACTAAAAATACAAAAATTAGCTGGGCATGGTGGTGCGTGCCTGTAATCCCAGCTACTAAGGAGGCTGAGGCAGGAGAATTACTTGAACCTGGGAGGTGGAGGTTGCAGTGAGCTGAGATTGAGCCATTGTACTCCAGCCTGGGAACAGAGTGAGACTCTGTCTCAAAAACAAACAAACCTACCTCTAAAATCATGTGAAGGCTTTGTCCAATGTCCTGATTCCTCATGCTTCTCTCTGCCTTCACCATTCTCCTTCCTTTCAGATGATCTCTGATCAACCTCGTGATATCCTGTATGAGATCTGTATGTTCATCATTTTCTACTCACTGAGTCCAAACCTTTTGTAATTTTTTCCCATAGATCTTCATCAAGAAAGGTACTGGCAGTCTCGGAGAGGCGTCACGTTGTTAAGGCTTTCATTTTCCTACTTGCACCATCCCATTCCCTCTTATTCCTCTCTCCCTGTCTCTCCCTCTTCTGAAACTACCAGAAAATCCACCGTCTTGTCTACCTACATTCACACCCTATCGATTTCTCAGCTTCTAACACATACACGTTTGGCAAGGCATTTCCTCTGTCAAATACAGCACTCTCCCTGAAGGGAATTCTGGCTAACTCAATTATCCCACTTTGTTACACTAGAAAAACAGATTATGAAAGGTCCTGCTATGGCAGGAACTACTAAGTGCATATTTGGGGCAGAAGTAATATTTCATCTTTACTTTTGTACTCTTTCATTTTTAGTTGATTTTGCCAAATAGCTTCAAATAGCACAAACTAGAATAATTTTTATAGTCTCCTGAGACAGAGGAATACTTTATCCTTGACCCAAATAATGCTGAATTGGTAATGCTTTCTATTTGCATCTCCTTTCTTTAAGACTAATTTGATGAAGAATCTCAGCTCTAGTAATTAACTGCTTTTTCTTTATTGCAGTGTAAACCAAAGCTGACATACTCCCAGGCTTCTTTCCTCTCCATCTCCCTTCTCCTTCTTATTCCTGTTTATCTACTTATCCTTTAAGGAGATTGAAAAGAAAGAGGAGGCCAGGCGCAGTGGCTCATGCCTGTAATCTTAGCACTTTGGGAGGCTGGGGCTGGAGGATTGCTTGAGACCAGGAGTTCAAGACCAGCCTGGACAACACGGCAAGACCCTGTCTCTCAAAAAAAAAAAAAAGGAGAAAAGAAAAGAAAAGAAGGAAGAGGAAGAAAGGGAAAAGGAGAAGGAAGAGGAAAAGGAAGAAGAGGAGGAAGGAGAAGAAGGAGAAAGTCTATTTAATCATTGTTGCTATTTTTCCTTCTTTGCTACAAAGGCAGTTGGAAGCCCTGAAGGTCTCATACGTTCCAGTAGAGGACATTGCATGTCCTTTGAAAGAAAATTTCCATTTGATACACATTATTAAGCACGATTTTAGTAAGTGAAAAGAGAACAAACCATTAATGGAGTGCACAGCCAAGAATGGAATATAAGGTAATAAATTTTTTTCATCTTTATTGTATCATCAATCTTTGAGGGCAGCAAAGGAGGTTCTGTTCTTTTGTTTATCCCATTATTTCTCTGTCTTGGAGAATCATTGTGTTTTACTAATTTTGTGAAGATTTAAATGAAGGGATTTAAGGAATACTTTTTTCTTCCAAATGCTTAGGGAATTTATTGAGCTATTTTCCTGGTCTGGTATTAAATCTATCCCAGATGGGACTTCACATTTGCCCAAGGTTTATATAATAATATAATAAAAATGACTACATCAAAGACATTCTGTTTAGTACTTGCACACACACACACACTCTCTGTTTTCAATACTTGACAAATATTTAACATTGTTTCCTTTTACTTCCTTTGACACTGAATTTTATATTACTTCCTAGGAAGGAAAAATAATATGACTAGGATCCTACTGCCACAGGACTCAAGAGTTGCCTTCCAAACATGACTTTCAAAAAAGTGAGAAATGGTGAACAGGGGGCAGATCAGAACTTTCGGCCTATTTAATGATTGACTGTAGACTCACCGCCTAAATCGCTTTAGACCCTTCCTGATTTCTTTTTGTTCCAGGGTCATGGACTAGTACTTATTTTCATGGGTGACTTATTTCTTTCTTCCTCCTTCAGATTCAGATTGAGAAGGGTGCCCGCACTAACGAGAACAGTCCCCTTCTCCCCCCCCTCCTGCCCCTCCTCTTCCTTTGTCTTTGTTGAATAAAACAGATGTGGTGAGCAATTCTTTTTATACCTTTATATTTTATATTTGACAAGTGCACTAAGTAGTATCAATTTCTAAGCATCTATCTTTTTATAGTTTAAACTTTTATCAGAGAAATACATAAACTCAGATGAAAAAATCATAAATGTTTAACAAGGCTTTTTAATGAAAACCAGTATCCCCTGCCACATTCATCCCCACCATCATTCTTCTCAGAATAAACATTTACTTGCTTCAACTGGGTCTTCAGGTATTTATTTCCGAATGTCTAATAACATGTTCATACTATTTCTTATTTTTTTGAATTTTATGTATTCCACATTGCTTCCTGTAACTTAACCATCTTGCACTTCCAAAGGCTCCACTCCAAACTTGCCATCTTCTACCCTCTATCCTCCCAATATAGCTACAGGATTTTTTTACTTAATAAACACTCACAGTTTACATTTTATGACTATATAAGCATTATTTACAAGTGAGACATATATCATCCTATATTTTCTTTTCTGTACATTTTTTTCCCGAGTTAATGGTCTTTTTAAAAGCTTATTCTTTTTGATCTGCTGATTCTTTATTCATTCATAACTCTTTTTTTCTTTTCTTTCTCTCTCTGTTGCCAAGGCTGGAGTGCAGTGGTATGATCATAGCTCACTGCAGCCTTTAACTCCTGGGTTCAAGCAATCCTCCTGCCTCACCATCCCACGTAGCTGGGACTACAGGTACATTCTATCACACCTGGCTAATATTTTTAAATTATTTTTAATTTTTGTAGAGATGAGGTCTCTTTATGTTGCCCAGGCTGATCTCAAACTCCTGGCCTTGATCCTCCCACCTTGGCCTCCCAAAGTGCTGGGATTACAGGCATGAGCCATGGCACCCAGCCCATTCATAAGTCTTGATAGCAGGGTAAACCTCTCCTTAAGTTATACCTATGTATCAAGTAAGCTATCAGCTTCTCTCTCTCTCTCTCTTTCTCTCTGGCTCTTCTGCAATCACTCTGCTATAGCCTTTTTTTCAATCCTATGACTTTATACCTTTTAAAGTTTGCTTCATTAATATTTTAGAGGAGTTATGAGAGGAATGGTGGTAAGTTTATGTTTTAATATATCAATTTACAAGAATTGCCCACTACATTTTAAATGAAAAATTCAAAGGATTTAGGATTAGGTTGCTTTTTCATAAAGATATGAGCATAGCATAGAAAATACTCTTCAACTATCATGAACTAGGTGATTAGTATTATTTTCATTTTAAGATATTAAAATGTAATGTCTCAGTAAGCTGTCCTAGCATATAAGACATTTGTTATAAGTATGAAAAGGTACCCTCCTAGATTTTGTTTGAAAGTTCTTGTGAAATTTTTGAGAATTTAAACCACTTGTGATGGCAGCATTTGCAAAAATCTCCCAAGACAAAGTAATACTAGGGGCTTGTCTATCTGAAGTGAAAACAAGAGGAGGGAAAAAACAGCATCTCTAAAAATTTTTCTTCTATGTATATTAAACATAGAAACAACAACTCAAAGGCATTGTCAGTAATGCTTTCATCTGAGTGGGTGCTTAGATGGCAGATCATTTTGCTCCCTCTGGGAGGAGCTGTCTGCAAGGAGTTTAATGAATCAGGCTGTTGCCACTGATCCTCAAAAAGAAAAAGAAAGGAGTCATTGTGTAGACCGATTGTCTGCTAGAATACAGATGATAAAGTTTAGATAAAACTTGATTTCCCTCGATAAACCAAAGCGGCCAATGTCTAAGGCAGTGGTCTTTCACTTTTTAAACAATTTATTTAAAAATAATTAATATGTGCATATATATTAAAAAGTCAAGTAGTGCTAAAGACTTTAAAATATATGTGCCCTCCACCATTTCACCTCTCTTAGCCATGTCTTTGGATATTTACATGCATATTTCAAGGAAAAAAGCACATATACAGCCATCTTTTGATTCATCAATTTTAGATATTATCAGTTGACTTCTGTGTTAGTCCAGATTCTCCAAAAGGCAGACACAAAGGTGGAAAATGTATCAGGAGAAACGCCTGTAGAGATCATGGAGAGGAAACTGGGAGAAGACTGTGAGAGTTCCCAGACTGCCATGTGGGTCTTACCCAGTGCAGGAGAGAGGGGACAGGAGAAAAGGTATGGGGAATCACCTTAGACTACAGTACCATCTAAGGAAAGGACAGCAAGGCCATTAGAAAGTCCTCGAACCACAGTCACCCATAGGAGGGATCCCCAACCCCCGGGAATGGGCCTTACTTAGCATCTGTTTCACTGTCAGTAATTGGCTGAAAGCAGCCCACGGGCAGCATGAATGCACTGAATTTCAGAGTGCAGCAACTGGGCTCGCTGGTCTATTTTGCTCCCTGCAGTTGGAGGTCTGAGAGGGGGCGTTCGCTTGCCTGCTACCACGTCCAGTATGACAGGTAAGGATTTTAGCTTCCTTCCACAGCCTCTGCCTGTTTTTCTCCCCTCCAGTATAATTCTATTTCAATTTGGGTTAAATCCATATTCACTGTTTTCATTGTCATGATTATGTAAGTTTTGCTTATAACTGAGGCAGATAATGCATCATAATTCTAGTTTATTGTACAGTTTCTGTTTCTCTTAAAGGTAATAATTGCCTCATTTTTCCCCGTTTGCTTATTTTTCTTTGAACTGATGGACAAAATTTCCCACAATTCTTAATAGCTCTGTAAAATACCTCTTGATATAAATTTTCATATCATCAAACTTATAGCAAATCTGCTAAATTCAGGAGTAAGCTGGTAAGTGTTCTATAGAATGTAATTTCCTACAAGGTAGTTAGTTTTTTAGTTTGTTTTGGTTTTGGTATTCCTCTGTATTATGGTAGTGGAAGGCTGGGATGCTATAGAACTCAATTTAATATTGTAGAATTGAATTAAAGCAAGGAGACCTTTACTAATTTGCAAACATATTGTTAATCTTGCCACATTTCTATGAGGTCAAAAAATGCATCATCAAATACTTATTGCACTTTCTGTGTGGCAACTAGCTAGTTGATCACTAATTTCTTTCCTCCTTGTGGAAGATTGTATTTTCCAGAGAAGACCAGAACATTACCCATCCTGCATATTCTTCTTATAATATAGCTTTAGCTTCCATCTATCAAGAGATGGAGGCTCTATCTCCTTCCCTTGAAAGTGAGCAGGCTTTGGGGACAGTTTCAGCCAGTAGAATACAGCAGAAATGATGCTACATGACTTCCCAGGGTAGGTAAAAAAAGGTGACACAACTTTTATCTTTGATGAAACATTTGTGGGACTCCTAAGTCACTCCGTAAGCAGTGTGACTGCCCTGAGGTGCTATATTGTGAGGAAGGTCAAACTAGCCCCTGGGAGGGAAGCCCCTAAGTCTACGTGAGGAGAGCCATCCAGCAGCACTCAGATGCTCTAGTCCCCACAGGCTCCAGACCCATGCAGCTTCTGTCATTGTGCAAATCCATGAGAAACCATGAGCCAGAAAAGCTCAGTTGAGCCCTCTCCAAATTCCTGGCCCACAGAAACCGTGACAGACAAATTATGATTGTTTTAAGCCACTAAATTTTGGGGTGATTAGTTGGCACAATAGTGAATAGAACACTTGTCTTCCTAGGTACACAAAAATCAGAAGTGCCCGAGTTCCCAAGAGTGCAAGAGGAAGTTATATACTTCTAAGCTTAGCACAAAAGCCTCCATGTGTGATCCTCCATTCCTTTTTCCCTTCTGCTACCTGAATCCAGAGGACATAGGGAAGTAGCATAATTCCCTGAATGGCCATGTTGAAGGTTTCAGACTTCATGTGAATGATAAAATGTTATTCTGTAACCACCAGGATCTAGGGAGTTACCTGTTGCAGTGATTAGTGCTATTTAAGTTATTAGTGTTACTAATAGAATAGCATTTTATCATTCACGTTATAGTGGCTTACACCACACAACTATCTTGCTGCATTTACTCAAGAAATATGTGTCAAATGGCAGTCAGGCACTGTATCAGGTGCTGTGGATACAGTGGTAAATAGGAGGGTGCTTGTTCTCTTGGAGCTTACATTCTCATGGAAAGGAGAGAACCACAAAATAAGTAAACAGGCTGGGCGCGGTGGCTCATGCCTGTAATCCCAGCACTTTAGGAGGCCGAGGTGGGTGGAACACTTGAGGTCAGGAGTTCGAGACCAGCCTGGCCAACATGGTGAAACCCCGTCTCTACTAAAAATACAAAAATTAGCTGGGCGTGGTGGCGCACCTGTAATCCCAGCTACTCCCTATACACCTTTATGTCCTTTCAAAAGAATCCTTTCGGACACTGAAATGCTTCAGACTTCTTTTTCCTTCTTTTCCTGCTGTGGATTCGGTCTCACTTGGCTAGAGAATTATAATGATACATGCATCCCAGCCTTATTTCACAGCTGCTTCTCTAAAACCTGTGATCTCTAGGCTCTGCTGGAATTGAACAAATGTGAGACTAATAAGAGATGAGGTCAGAGAGTTAACAACGGATCAGATTGTGAAGGGCTTTACTCTAAGGGAGACAAAAGAGAAGGGCCCTAAGCATTATAAGTCTTTTCATTTGTTTGTTTTTTTGAGACAGGATCTTGCTCTGTCACCTAGGCTTAACTTCGGTGGTACAATCTCGGCTCACTGCAGCCTCTACCTCCCAGGCTCAAGCGATCCTCCCACCTCAGCCTCCAGAGTAGGTAGGACCTCAGGTGCGCACCACCACACCTGGCTAATTTTGTTTATTTTTTGTAGAGATGAGGCGTCTCACTCTGTTTGTTGCCCAGGCTGGTCTCAAAGTCCTGGGCTCAAGTGATCCACCTGCCTCAGCCTCTCAATCTGTCAGTATTTCAATGTGCCGGTATTACAGGCATGAGCCACTGTGCCCGGCCGGTAAGTTTTATACTTAAAAAGATGACACTGCCATGTGGGGAATACTGCAGGAAGCTCAAGAAGAAGCAGGAGAACACTTAGGCTATTGCAACCTTCCAGGCAGAGCAAAATGATTTGGATCAGGCAAGTAGCAGGACCAATGGTGGGAAGTGATTGAATTCTGGTCATAGTTTGCAAGAATGGTGGAGGGGATTTGCTGATGGTTTAGATATGAAGATGAAGAGTGACAGTCAATGATTACTCCAAGGATTTTAGTCGGAGAAGTCAGAAAGATGGAGTTGCCAACTACTGTGATAAAGAAGACTATGAGAAAAACAGGTTTGGGAAATAATATTGAGAGTTTGGTTTTGGAAATGTTAAACTTGACATATGTTTTAGACATCACATGCTTCATCTTATTATTTGCCAAAATCATTCTGAAAATAAGTATTACAGTCAATTTTGTTTTATAGATGAGGAAACTGAAGTTGAGAGAAGTTAATTGCTCAAGCTCACACACTAGTAGGGGCAGAGCCAAATTTAGAATCTGAGTATTTTGGAATTCAAAATCAGGGCTCATCCCACTACCAAGCTGTGCTTACCCATTTCTACAGGCTATTTTTCGCCTTATTCTCTAAATGACCTACACATTTTCCAAATTGGTTTTTCTACACATTCTTTTTAATAACTATCCATCTTTGGTTTCCTGCTACTACATGTGGCCTGACAATTAGACACATGATCTTTCTGTGATGCCCATGCATGGCAGATTGCTAATATCAAGTCTCCCCTGAATTGCAAATGTATACATGGATTCCTAGCTAGATACTACATTCCCAGGTCTTGTCACAGCTAGGTGTGACCATGTGACTAAGTTAAGGCTGGTGTGGAAATGTGTGCAAATTCCAGGTTGTGTACAGTGGACCCTTGAACAAGAGGGTTAAGGGTACTAGCCTCCTGCACAGTTTAAAATCTAAATATAGCTTTTGACTCTCCCCAAACTTAACTACTAATAGCCTACTGTTGACTGAAGCCTTACTAATAACATGAACAATTAACACATATTTTGTATATTATATTTGTTATATACTGTATTCTTACAATGAAGTAAGCTAGGAAAAAGAAAATGTTATTAAGAAAATAAGGAAGAGAAAATACATTTGCTGTTTTTCAAGTGGAAGTGAATCATTGAAAGGTCTTCATCCTAGTCATCTTTATGTTGAATAGGTTGAGGAGGAGGAGGAAGAGTAAGGGTCAGTCTTGCTGTCTCAGGGGTGGTAGAGGCAGAATAAAATCCATGGTCTAAGTGGACACATGCAGTTCAAATCCTTGTTGTTCAAGGGTCACCTGTGCTTAGAAGAAAGCTGCTTGCCCTCCACTTCCTCTTTCCCACTTCCTTTGGACTAGAACAAGGGGTGTGCTGGTGGACAAGGGGCACACCCTACACAAAGATGGAGCAACAAGATAGAAAGAGTTTGGGTCCCTAAATGATCCCACAGAGCAGTGCTGGCCTCTTCTCTGGGGCCACCTAATAGCTTACACTAAATGACAGAAAACTAAAACTTTTCTTTTGTGTAAGCTTGTATTAAAAACAGCTGAGCCACGGTCTTAGCCAAATATATCATGAATAAGTCACAATGCACTACAGCTTCCCAGAAGGCAATATGGCATTGTGGTTAAGCATATGGACTCTAGAATTAGACTGTGGGTCTGTCTAATCCTGGCTATGTCATTCAGTCTTGGCCTAGTTATAGAATTTCTCTGTGCCTTAGGTCTTTTATCTTAAAGTAGAGACAATAAAAGTATCTACCTCATACGGTTAAATAATATATACAGGACATTTATAGCACTGGTTGGGGCATTTTAAGGGCTCAGTAAATATTAGCTATATAAATAACTTATCCAAACAGGTAAGAATAGGCTATTAACATTGAAAGCAAATATTGACCATGATATATTTTATTTGAGTAGGGGTGCGTGAGGATCCCCACTCAGTGCCTTCCTCTTACCATTCCTGGCTGTGGTAGAAAGGCTAGATGTCCACCAAAACCTCATGCTGCACAGTATGGAATTACTACTGAGAATCTGCTGCCCAGACAAAGGTAGTTTATTCCCAGACCCTCTCCACTAATTCTGGGTTTGGGGTTTTAAACAAAAATTTTTGGTAAAATATACATAACATAAAATGTAACCTTTTAACCATTTTTTAACTTTACAGTTCAGTTCAGGAAAATTAAGTACATTCATTTTTTTTTTTTTTTTAAGATGGAGTCTCACTATGTCACCCAGGCTGGAGTGCGGTGGCGTGATCTCAGCTCATTGCAACCTCCGCCTCCTGGGTTCAAGTGATTCTCCTGCCTCAGCCTCCTGAGTAGCTGGGATTACAGGTGCACGCCACCATGGCTGGCTAATTTTTGTACTTTTAGTAGAGACAGAGTTCCCCCATGTTGGCCAGGCTGGTCTCAAACTCCTGACCTCAAGTGATCCACCTGCCTCCGCCTCCCAAAATGCTGGGATTACAGGCGTAAGCCACCACACCCGGGTCATGGCTAATTTTTTAAATTTTTTGTCAGAAGGTACATCTTTTGGCCAGGTGCGGTGGCTCACGCCTGTAATCTCAGCACTTCGGGAGGCCGAGGCAGGCACATTGTTGTGCAAGCATCACCACTGTCTCTAGAACTCTGTCATCATTCCAACTGGAACTCAGTACTCATTTTAAAACTTTCATGTCCTTTGCAGGGACATGGATGAAGCTGGAAACCATCATCTCGGCAAACTAACACAGGAACAGAAAACCAAACACTGCATGTTTTCACTCATAAGTGGGAGTGGAACAATGAGAACACATGGACACAGGGAGGGGAACATCACACACTGGGGCCTGTCAGGGGATAGGGGGCTAGGAGAGGGATAGCATTAGGAGAAATACCTAATGTAGATGACAGGTTGATGGGTGCAGCAAACCACCATGGCACGTGTACACCTATGTAACAGACCTGCACGTTTTGCACATGTATCCCAGAACTTAAAGTATAATTAAAAAAAAAAAAAAGCTTCTCATTCCCTGCTCCCCACAAGCCTTGGTAACTATTCTTCTATTTTCTGTCTCCATAGATGTGACTATCTCAGGTACTTGATGTAAATGGAATCATACTGTATTTGTCCTTTTGTGTCTGGCTTCTTTCACTTAGCATGTCTTCAAGGTTCACCGATGTCAGCAAGTGTCAGAATTTCCTTCCTTTTTCAGGCTACATCTTGTTCCATTGTGTGGATAGACCACGTTTCATTTATCACTCATCCATCAATGGACATTTGGTCTGGGCTGATGGTTTTTTTGTTGTTTTGTTGTTTTTTGTTTTGTTTTTTGTTTTTGAGATGGAGTCTCACTCTGTCACCCAGGTTGGAGTACAGTGGCACAATCTCGGCTCACTGCAACTTCTACCTCCCTGGTTCAAGCGAGTCTTCTGCCTCGGCCTCTCAAGTGGCTGGGACTACAGGTGCGTGCTACCACACCCGGCTAATTTTTTGTGTTTTTAGTAGAGACGGGGTTTCACCATGTTAGCCAGGATGGTCTCGATCTCCTGACCTCGTGATCCCCCAGCCTTGTCCTCCCAAAGTGCTGGGATTACAGGCGTGAACCACCATGCCTAGCCGTTTGTTTGTTTTGAGGCAGAGTCTCGCTCCGTTGCCCAGGCTGGAGTGCAGTGGCGTGATCTCTGCTCACTGCAACTCTACCTGTCAGGTTCAAGCAATTCTCGTGTTTCAGTCTCCTGAGCAGCTGGGATTACAGGCGTGCATCACCACGCCTGGCTAATTTTTGTATTTTAGAAGAGATAGGGTTTTACCATGTTGGCCAGGCTGGTCTCAAACTCCTGGCCTCAAGTGACTTGCCTGCCTTGGCCCCCCAAACTGCTGGGATTACAGGCATGAGCCACTGCACCTGGCCGGGCTGATGGTTTTTAAGAAGTAGGTGAGGCTTCTTCATTCTCTCTTATACCATTTACTTCAGAGGACTCCGCGGCCCGAGAAAGCAGTTGATTTAGAAGAAGGAAAGACCCTGCCCTGCAGAATCATTATGGAAGCTACTGAGTGACAAGGCATCCCTGCATTGGTCCTTTATATGAGTAAGAAAAAAACTTTCATTTTGCTAATTAACATTAGAAATTTTGGATTTATTTCTTACAGCAGTTTATGTTACCCTAACAAATTGTCAGGCTACTCATACTTTTCAATTTTTTTTTGAGACAGGATCTCCTTTCATTGCCCAGGCTGGAGTGTAGTGGTGCAATCATAGCTCACTCGGGTCTCAAACTCCTGGGCTCAAGCCATCCTCCTACCTCAACCTCCTGAGTAGCTGGGGCTATAGGTGCATACCACCACATTCAGCTAATTAAAAAAAAAAATTGTGGAGACAGGGTCCATATTGCCCAGGCTGGTCTCAAACTCCTGAGCTCGAGCGATCTCCCTTCCTCAGCCTCTTAAAGTGCTGGATGTACAAGCATGAGCCACTGTACCCCAAAGGCTACTCACGCTTTACTTAACTTGGCAAAACATTTTTTGTCACCTGATCCAACAAAGTGATTATTCTCTCTCTTTATCCCACAACAATTTCTCTGCTTCTAGAAAACCACTGTTCTGTAAAAATAAATAAAACAAACAATATTGAGGGGTCTTTTCCTTTTCCCATGCATCCTGCCATGAAAATAATATGATTTCTTTTCCAGAACCTACTCTGATGAGCTCATTTCCCACTCTGTCTGAACTAAGAAAAGATATTCCTTTGTGTGAACCCAGATGACACCTCTGTCCAATGTGTTTTGATTTTACTGAAAGGGATCAAAGTTCTTCACACCGAAATCACCAGACTCCCACATGGGCAGGGGCTTGGGCAAATAAAGAGCTGCTGCTGCCATTGGATTTTGCACTGCCCCCACATGGGTTTTGTTTGTTTTTGTTTGAGCTTTGCCAGCAAAGATTTATAATCCTTACCTTTCTGCTGTTTAGCAAGGTTCTGAAAAAAGAGGACAGCACCTCCTATGAAGAGCATGGAGACCCTAACGAGATGCAGCCACCTCTGGTGATACGTTATGTAAGCATGAATAAGCACACTTAAGGTCTTATGCTGACAGGATAGACTACAGAGTAACCTTGCCTTCTCCAAATTTGCAAGACTTCAGGAGTTTGAGAGATCTCCAGTCTATTTCCTTTCCCTCAGATCTATTTTCAAATCATTTCTTATTTTTCTTTTCTTTTCTTTCTTTCTTTGTTTCATTTTTTTCTTTCTTTTCTTTTTTTTTTTTGGCAGGGGTCTCACTCTGTTGCCTACATTTGAATGCAATGGCGCCATGATAAGTCACTGCAGCCTTGACCTCTCAGGTTCAAGTGATCCTCCCACCTCAGCTTCCTAAGTAGCTTGGACTACAGTGGCACACGACCATACCTGGCTAATTTTTTTATTTTTTTTAGAGACAAGGTCTTGCTATGTTGTCCAGGCCAATTTTGATCTCTTGGGCCCAAGCAATCTTCTTCCCTTGTCATCCCAAAATGTTGGGATTACAGGTGTGAGCCACTGCACCCAGCCTTCAGCTCATTTGAAAGAGGTAAATTGCTCTTCAAGACACCCAAGGGTGGATTTTTCTTGGATTCAATCTGAAATGAACAGAAAGTAGGGAATAAAAATTTGAAATGTAGATTGGAAAAGTCAAGAGACAGTAATTGATTCCATCTCTGCATGACCAAAGTAGCCCAAGTTTGGTCATTCTGGGATCTTAGAGTTGGCATTAGTTGAAGCACCGAGACTTATTGTCTCTGGCCACACTAGCTCCTGGGGCACCAGCTCTCAAAGGCCTCACCCTGAACAGGGAATATGGGTGGGTATGGGTAGGATAGAAAGGGAAGGAGGGATGGAAGAAAGGACTGGGAATTTGAAACATCAGAAATAGGGGAGGAGAGGCAGAATGAGGCGGGAAAAATAGGTTAGGTGGTGGGAGAACTAGAAGGGGAAGAAATGGAAGAAGAAAGGAGAATAAGATGGAAAAGAAAAGGGAAAGGAAGGATGGAAAATGGGAAGGAGAGAGAGGAAGAATGAGGGAAATGGATGGGAACTAACATTCACTAAGGACTTTTTAGGTAAATGATAAACAACCTTGAGGCTGGAGTCTCGCTTTCCAGCTTAAAGGGACTGGGACTGTGGCAGGGATTTAGGCATTTAAGGCTGTAGTGTCTATAAAATCTTATCCTGGATGAGACCTTATAGGTACTGAAGGTGCCTTCAGCCAGGATCAGCTACCTAATTTGGGCCCTGTGCAAAATGAAAATGTGGACCCTTTGTTCAAAATTATTAAGACTGTCAAGGCCAGGCATGGTGGTTCATGCTCGTAATCTCAGCACTTTAGCCAAGAGTGGTGTGTGCCTATAGTCGCAGCTACTAGGGAGGCAGAGAGCTAGGAGGATTGCTTGAGCTCAGGAGTTTGAAGTGACAATGAGCTATGATCACACAACTGCATTCATCTGGGTGACACAGTGAGACCCCATCTCTAAAAAAGAAAAAAAGAAAAAGAAGAAGAAAGTTAGCTGGGTCTCTGGGCAGGAAGTTCCCAGCATTCCCTGATTCTTGCTCAGATATAGAATAACTGAGATTATCACTCTTTATTTTTACCTTCCCATAGTATGTGATTTCCATCAAATTAAGGATTTTAAAAGGGCAAAGTTGTAAGTTTTACTCGAAAGATGCCAATTACATATAGAGAAATTAGCACTCACAGAAAAAAAAGTTTAATCCAAAAATATTTCATTTTGAAATAATTTCAAATGTATAAAGCTGCGGCAAAAATAGTACAAGTATAGCCTTCACCAGTTTCTCCAAATGGTGACAACTTACAGAAACTATGGTACAATTATTAAAACTGGTAAACTAACATTGTTATTATGTTATAACTAATCTACAGACCTTATTCAAATTTGCCAATTGTGCCACTGATTTTAAAATATGCAAACTAGTTTTGTAGTAAGATGTAGTTAATAACATATAGTTTTTGATATAAAATTTTTTTCCTAAAATGTGCAGAGCATCTGAGTTGTTTGAAGTCTTAGGGCAAACACTAAGACACTTTGATGCTACTGAAAATCTGAAGTTGTCACATAAAGGCAGTCTCTAAGATTATCCAGTTTTAGTGCTTGAATGGGGGAGTTTGTTTCCTCTTAACTTGGGAAAGATGAGCTGGTGTTATAGACTGGATGTGTTTCCTTCCAAAGTCTTATGGTGAAACCCTATCCTCTAAGGTGGTGGTATTAGGGGGTGGGGACTTTGTGGGGTGGTGGGTACTGAGAACATAAGAATGGAGCCCACATGAATGGGACTAGTGTCCCTAAAAGAAGACATATGAGAGAGTTTGCGTCTCTCCTCTCTGCCATGTGAGGCTACAAGGAGAAAACAGCCACCAGCAAACCAGGAAGTGGGCTCTCACCAGACACGAGATCTGCTGGTGCCTTGATCTCGGATTTCCCAGCTCCAGAATGGTGAGAAATAAATGTTGGTTGTTTAAGCCACCCAGTTGTCTATGCTATTTGTGTTATAGCAGCCTGAGTTGACTAAGACAGTGAATTTCAATAACAATGAAACAAATCCCTAGATTTTAAAAAAATTGAACATTTTACCCATTAATCAGCCTTGTCACTTCTTTGAGTATGCCCTGATATAGTTTGAGTGTGTCCTCCAAATTTCACATGTTAGAAACACAATCCCCAAATTCATATGTTTATTGGAGGTGGGGCCTTTGGGAAGTACTTAGGATTAGGTAAAATCATCAGGACGGGGCCCTCATGATGGAACTGGCGGCTTTATAAGAAGAAAAGAGACCTGAGCTGACACGCTTGCTCTGTCTTGCCATGTGATGCCTCCCACCATGTTGTGATCCAGCAGGAAGGCCCCCACCAGATGCTGGTGAGACAGGAAAAATACAGGGTGGTCACAGAATAGAAAATTCTAAGCATCAGTTTCACAGGACTAACAAAAGGAAACTGTTGAAATAGCTGCAGAAGCTAGGGGCTGATAAGACCCTAAAACCCAGGATGTGGGCCAGGCTGGCTAAGACCAACTGGACCCAACATGGAACTGGATTTGACCTAGATTTCACCTAGGACCTCATTATATGCTCATTAACATACTCACTCACAAACCCATTGATGCCATGACAGTTCTGGGAACACCCATATTTGGGGTAAAAATGGGTGGCACCACAGTTCTGAGAAATCTTCATCTTTTTCCAGGAATCTTCATGAATATTCCAGCCCTTGGTTAAAGAACCCCATAAACGTGGAAGCCCCAAACTTCATTGTATTACTGACTCTCTTGAGTACACCCTCAATTCCCCTTTCTTGAATGTGTACTTTTCTCTTTGCAGTAAATCTTTCACTATTTTCTGACTCATCCTTGAATTTTTTCTTGTGACAGTGTCAAGAACCTGGACACCGGCTGAAGTCAGGGTCCCACCAGCATTTGGGGACCTCCCCCAGCCCATTCATATCATTGGCACCATGTTCTTGGACTTCTCAGCCTCTGGATTGGTAAACTAATTAAACCTTTATTCTTTATAAATTACCCAGTCTGGGGTACTCAGTTACAGCAACAGAAAATGGACTAAGACATGCCCTCTGCCCAGTTATATATCATGTAGCATAATGATTACCCTGATATATGTAATATTTTTTTTGGGTCTTGATAATATAAAATGGCCTAACTTGGATTGGATTAATATGAAATAAAGGAGATTTCCAATAATATGATATGTAGGATTTGCTTACAAATAATAAGAGGTAGAGGGCCAGGCACAGTGTCTCACACCTGTAATCCCAGCACTTTGGGAGGCTGAGGCGGGCAGATCACAAGGCCAGGAGATTGAGACAATCCTGGCTAATACAGTGAAATCCTGTCTCTACTAAAAATACAAAAAATTTGCCAGGCGTGGAGGCACGTGACTGTAGTCTCAGCTACTCAGGAGGCTGAGGCAAGAGAATCGCTTGAACCCAGGAGGCGAAGGTTACAGTGAGCTGAGATCACACCACTGCACTCTAACCTGGGCGACAAAGCCAGACTCCATCTCAAAATAATAATAATAATAATAATAATAATAATAATAATAATAGGTAGAATCAACCCAAACATACATTGATAGATGAATGTAAAAAAAGGTAGAATATATAAAATGGAATATTCTGCAACTTTAAAAAGAAGGAAATCCTGTCACATGCTGTAACATAATGAACCTTGAGGACTTTATGCTAAGTGAAATACATTAGTCAAAAAAGGATAAACACTGTATGATTCTGCTCTTATGAAGTATCCAAAGTACACAAAATCACAGAACAAAAAGTAGAAGGTGGTGCCAAGGGATTGGGGAAAGAGGGAGGCAGAATTAGCATTAAGTGGCTGTAGAGTTTCAGTTTTGTAAGATGAGAAGTTCTGGACCTGTTGAACAGCAATGTGCATATAGTTAATTCTACTGCAGTGTACACCTAAAAACAGTTAAGTTGGTGGTGATATGGTTTGGCTGTGTCCCCACCCAAATATCATCTTGAATTCCCACGTTATGGGAGGGATCCAATGGGAGGTACATAGAATCATGAAGATAAGTCTTTCCTGTGCTGTTCTCCTGATGGTGGATATGTCTCATGAGATCTGATAGTTCTATAAGGCGGAGTTTCCCTACACCAGCTCTCTCTCTTTGCTTGCCACCATCCATGTAAGACGTGATTTGCTCCTCCTTGCCTCCCACCATGATTATGAGGCTTCCCCAGCCACATGGAACTGTAAGTCCATTAAACCTTTTTCTTTTGTAAATTGCCCAGGATCAGATATGTCTTTATCAGCAGTGTGAAAATGGACTAATACAGTAAACTGGAACCAGTAGAGTGGGGCACTGTTGAAAAGATACCCGAAAATGGGAAGCAGCTTTGGAATTGGGTAACAGGCAAAGGTTGGAATAATTTGGAGGGCTCAGAAGAAGACAGGAAAATGTGGGAAAGTTTGGAACTCCCTAGAGACTTGTTGAATGGCTGTGACTAAAATACTGATAATGATATGGACAATGAAATCCAGGCTGAGGTGGTCTGTATTAGGGTTCTCTTAGAGGGACAAAACTTATATTAGCAGGGTATAATCTTTAAGATATTAAGATATCTTTAATATATATATAATATATATTATATTAATATATAATATCTTTAAGATATTAAGATATCTTTAATATCTGAATATTTTGTAGCCCTCAACCCAATCAAGTTGACACTCGGTATTAACCATCACATGGTCTCAGATAGAGATGAGGAATTTGTTGGGAATGGGAACAAAGGTGACCCTTGTTATGTTTTAGCAAAAAGACTGGCAGCATTTTGCCCCTTCCTCCTAGAGATTTTTGGAACTTTGAACTTGAGAGAGATGATTTAGGGTAGCTGGCAGAAGAAATTTCTAAGCAGCAAAGCATTCAAGATGTGACATGGGTGCTGTTAAAGGCATTCAGTTTTGAAAGGGAAATAGAGCATAAAAGTATGGAAAATTTGCAGCCTGATAATTTGATAAACAAGAAAATCCCATTTTCTGAGGAGAAATTCGAGCCGGCTGCAGAAATTTCATAAGTAATGAGAAGCTGAATGTTAGTCCCCAAGACAATGTCTCCAGGGCATGTCAGAAGTCTTCACAGCAGACCCTCTCATCATAGGCCTGAAGGTTTAGGAGGAAAAAATGGTTTTGTGGGCCAGGGCCAGGGTCCCTCTGCTGTGTGCAGTTTAGGGACTTGGTGCCCTGCATCCCAGCCACTCCAGCTGTGACTAAAAGAGGCCAAAGTACAGCTCAGGCTGTTGCTTCAGAGGGTGTAAGCCCCAAGCCTTGGTGTTGAGCCTGTGAGTGCACAGAAGTTAAGAACTGAGGTTTGGGAACCTCTGCCTAGATTTCAGAAGATGTATGGAAATGCCTGGATACTCAGGCAGAAGTTTGCTGTAGGGGCAGGGTCCTTATAGAGAACTTCTGTTAGGGCAATGCAGAAGGGAAATGATGGGGTCAGAGCCACCACACAAGGGTGCCTACTGGGGCACTACCTAATGGAGCTGTGAGAAGAGGGCCACCATCTTCCAGACCCCAGAATCGTAGATCCACCTACAGCTTGCACCGTGTGCCTAGAAAAGCCGCAGACACTTAATTCTAGCCTGTGAAAGCAGCTAGGAGGGGGGTTATACCCTGCAAAGCCACAGGGGTGGAGCCACTCAAGGCCATGGGAGCCTACCTTTTGCATCTGAGTGCCCTGGATGTGAGACATGGAGTCAAAAGAGATCATTTTGGAGCTTTAAGATTTGACTGCCTTACTGGATTTTGGACTTGGATGGGGCTTGTAGCCCCTTTGTTTTGGCTAGTTTCTCCATTTGTCATGGCTGTATTTATCCAGTGCCTGTACCCCTATTGTATCTAGGAAGTAACTAACTTGCTTTTGATTTTACAGGCTCATAGGCAGAAGGGAATTGCCTTGTCTCAGATGAGACTTGGGACTGTGGACTTTTGAGTTAATGCTGAAATGAGTTAAGACTTTGGGGAACTGTTGGAAGGCATGATTGGTTTTAAAACATGAGGACATGAGATTTGGGAGGGGCCAGGGTTGGAATTGTATGGTTTGGCTGTTTCCCCAAACAAATCTCATCTTGAATTCCCATGTGTTGTGGGAGGGACCTGATGGGAGGTAACTGAATCATGGGGGTGGGTCTTTCCCATGTTGTTCTCCTGATAGTGAGTAAGTCTCATGAGGTCTGATGGTTCTATAAGGGGGAGTTTCCCTGCACAAGTTCTCTCTCTTTGCCTGCCGCCATCCATGTAAGATGTGATTTGCACCTCTTTGCCTTCTACCATGATTGTGAGGCTTCCCCAGCCACGTGGAACTGTAAGTCCATTAAACCTCTTTCTTTTTTAATTGTCCAGTCTTGGGTATGTCACTATCAGCAGCATGAAAATGGACTAATACAGATGGTAAGTTTTATGTTATGTATTTTTTACCACAATAAAAAGTAATAGAAGAGGTGAGAATTGGATGGAAGTATAGATGAAACTAGTTGACCAAGAGTTGACAACTGGAGAGGCTGGGTGATGGGTGTATGGGGTTCATTATACTGCTGCCATTCATCTCTCCTGCTGCCATGTGAAGATGTGCTTGCTTCTCCTTTGCCCCTCCACCAGGATTGTAAATTTCCTGAGGCCTCCCAAGCCATGCCTCCTGTACAGCCTGTGGAACTGTGAGTCAATTAAAACTATTTTCTTTATAAATTACCCAGTCTCAGGTATGACCTTACAGCAGTGTGAGAATGGACTAAAAAAGAAAATTGGTACCGGAGAAGTGAGGCATTGCTATAAAGATACCTGAAAATGTGGAAGCAGTTTTGGAACTGGGTAATGGGCATAGGTTGAAATAGCTTAGAGGGCTCAGAAGAAGACAGGAAGATGAAGGAAAGTTTGGTATTTCCTAGAGATTTGTTAAATGGTTTTGACCAAAATTCTGATGTGGTATAGACAATAAAGTGCAGGGTGAGATGGTCTCAGATAGAGATGAGGAACTTGTTGGGAACTGGAGCAAAGGACACCCTTGCTATGTTTTAGCAAAGAGACTGGCAGCATTGTGCCCTGCTCTAGGGATCTGTGGAACTTTGAACATGAGAGATGATTTAGGGTATCTGGTGGAAGAAATTTTTAAGCAGCAAAGCATTCAAGATGTGGCCTGGCTGCTTCTAAAAGCCTATATTCATTTGCATAAGCAAAAAGAGCTTATATTTAAAAGGGAAACAGAGCATAAAAGTTCGGAAAATTTGCAGCCTGACCATGTGGTAGAAAAGAAAACCCCATTGTATAGGTTGAAATTCAAGCTGGCTGCAAAAATTTGCATAAGTTCAAGAGAAGCCAAATGTTAATAGCCAAGACAATGGGGAAAATGTCACCAGGCATTTCAGAGACCTTTGTGGCAGCCCCTGCCATCATAAGCCCAGAGGCCTGGGAGGAAAAAATGATTTCATTGATGCAGGGCCCTGCTGCTTTGTGCAGCCTTGGGACATGGTGCCTGGCATCCTAGCTGCTTCAGCTCCAGCTGTGGCTAAAAGAGGCCAAGGTACAGCTTAAGCTTTGCTTCAAAGGATGCAAGGCCCAAGCCTTGGTGGCTTCCATGTGATGTTGGGCCTGTGGGTGCACAGAAGGCAAGAGTTGAGGTTTGGGCACCTCTGCCTAGATTCTAGAGGATATATGGAAATGCCTGGATGTCCAGGCAGAAGTCTGTGGCAGGGGTGGAGCTCTCATATAGACCCTTTACTAGAGCAATGCAGAGGGGAGATATGAGGTTAGACCCCCACACAGAGTCCCCACTGGAGCACTGCGTAGTGAAGCTGTGAGAAGAGACCCATTGTCCTCCAGACCCCAGAATAGTAAGATCCACCAACAGCTTGCACCATGCACCTGGAAAAGCCACAGTCAGTAAACATCAGCCTTTGAGAGCAGCCATGGGAGCTAAGCCCTAGAGAGCCAGAGGGGTGGAGCTTCCCAAGGCCTTGGGAGCCAACCCCTTGCATCAGAGTGCCCTGGATGTGAGACCTGGAGTCAAAGGAGATTATTTCAGGGCTTTAAGATTTAATGACTGCCCTGCTGGGTTTTGGACTTGCATGGGGGCTGTAGCCCCTTTGTTTTGGCCATTTTCTCCCTTTTGGAAGAGGAACATTTGCCCAGCACCTGTACCTCCATTGTACCTTGGAAGTAACTGACTTGTTTTTGATTTTACAGGCTCCTAGGCAGAAGGAACTTGCCTTGTCTCAGATAAAACTTTGGACTTGGACTTTTCAGTTAATGCTGGAATGAGTTAAGACTTTGGGGGACTGTTGGGAAGAGATTATTGTGTTTTGAAATGTGAGAAGGACATGAGATTTGGGAGGGGCCAGGGGCAGAATGATATGGTTGGCACTGTGTTCCCCACCCAAATTTCATGTTGAATTGTGATCCTGAGTGTTGGAGGTGGGGTCTGGTGGGAGGTGATTGGAACATGGGGGCAGATTTCCCCCTTACTGTTCTGTGATAGTGAGTGAGTTCTCACAAGATCTCTTTATTTAAAAGTATGTAGCACTTCCCCCTTTGCTCTGTCTCTCCTGCCACTATATGAAGAGGTGCTTGCTCCCCCTTTGCCCTTCTGCCATGATTTAGGTTTCCTGAGGCCTCCCCAGCCATGCCTCATACAGCCTGTGGAACTGTGAGTCAATTAAGTCTCTTTTCTTTATTAATTACCCAGTCTTAGGTATGTCTTTGTAGCAGGGTGAGAATGGACTAATACACCCACCAAAAGTTCTATGTCCCAGATAAAATTTTCCTAACATTGTTAATAATCACACAGCATTCTTTATCCAAAATGAAAATAGCTTTTCTCTTATCAAAATTCTATATTTTATTTATTTTTTTATTTATCTTTTGAGACAGAGTCTCACTCTGTTGCCCACGCTGGAGTGCAGTGGTGCAATCTCAGCTCACTGCAACTTCTGCCTCCCAGGTTCAAGTGATTCTCATGCCTCAGCCTCTTGAGTAGCTGGGATTACAGGTGCACACCTCCACACCTGGCTAATTTTTGTATTTTTAGTAGAGGCAGGGTTTTACCATGTTGGCCAGGATGGTCTCAAACTCGTGACCTCAGGTGATCCACCTGCCTCAGCCTCCCAAAGTGCTGGGATTACAGGCATGAGCCACTGCGCCTGGCCTAAATTCTATATTTTAAATGTTAACTGTCAAAATAAAAGAAAAAAAAAACTAACCTTTTTTCATCCCAAATTATGGAAAGACCCAAACAGCAGAGATGACAGTAAAAAGAAATTTAAAAATCACCTCAAATCCTATCATTCATTGGAAACCTTTGCATATATATCCTTCCAGACATTTCTTAATGAACTGTGAGGGTTTTTTGTTTTTGTTTGTTGTTGTCCTTGTTGTTGTTTTTGAGACAGAGTCTCACTCTGTCGCCCAGGCTGGAGTGCAGTGACATGATTTTAGCTCATTGCAATCTCTGTCTCCCAGGCTCAAGCAATTCTTATGCCTCAGCCTCCTGAGTAGCTGGGACTACAGGCATATGCCACCAGGCCTGGCTAATTTTTGTGTTTTTAATAGAGATGGAGTTTTACCATGTTGGCCAGGCTGGTCTCAAACTCCTGGACTCAAGTGATCCACCTGCTTTGGCCTCCCAAAGTGCTTGGATTACAGGTGTAAGCCACTGCACCTGGCCCATGAACTGTTTTTTAAAGTGTCTGTTGCTGTCAGATAAAAAGAGCCTATATTTATATCATATGGAAAGTGACTCCTAGTTTATCAAGAGTGTCATTCAAAATAAACATATAGATTAGCAATTACTCATTGCATATGCAAAATTATGTGTTTCTACATAATCTTTTTTGTCTTAGAGAAGGAGCCAAAATTTTCATCAGGCTTCAAGAATATGGTGTCTTGAACAGACTGATACTATAATCTTGAACCTCTTAAAGTTACATATTCTATTCAAACAACTCTTTGCAGCCAATCATTTCTTCATTAAAGACAAATTTGAAGGACTTTTGTTTTATTGTAATTCAAGTTTGAAATTAATAACACACATCTTCACCAAGGAAAATAACCACTTAACACCAGATTTTATTTGTTCTACTATTAATAATTGACCTATCCTCCCAATTAAAAAAAAGTTTGGTTAAAAATGTTGAGGTTAATGTATATTTTATATAAGCTTATTTGCTTTTATATTTTTCAAGAACTAAAGTTTTATTGTGTTCACTTGCTTATTTTTCACAATTAGCCTAATACTTGCATAAAATATTCCATTAGGTGATATTGAATAAAATGAGTTCAATGAGTCATTTTTTCTTGAATTACTTAATTCAGAAACAAATTTCAGATTCAAATTCTATTCTCTTACTAAATAAAATGTAACCCCATTATAGAATGGTTTATTACATGGAATTATAATAATAACTTGTGATGATGTATTTAAAGTTATTATATAACAATTTATAATTTTCATTCATTTAGCCATTTATTCACCATATAAAAGACAGCGAACAGGCAGGGAAAATTCTGTTAGTGGCTGAGGCTTTGCTTCCAATCCTGAAGTAGAAATGCAAATAGATGGAAGGCTTCTTTTCTCAAAACAAATAAAACCTAGAAGGCCTCAAGTCAAAACAAGCCCAATGACCTATTCTGTACATTTTCTGCAATCTATTTCCTAATCCATTTCTTTAATGTCTTCAGGGTCAACTGTCAGCACCAGAAGAAGAGGAACCAGCATGCATCAGCAACCAGGACCTAGGAGTGCTAAGTGGAGAGCTTGAGGACAGAATAGAGAGGGAGCCTATCAGGCTGAGCTGCCTCTTGGCTCTTCCCTTCAAATCACTTGAAGTGTCAAGATTGGTGAGGATTAGACTCCTTTGGGTTAATCCCTAATGTTGTTGACATAGTTACAAGTAACTGTCAAAATTTACATTTCACATGAATCATTAAATAAAACTTACAGGAGGCCATTGTTTTTGACTGAGCTCCTGCACTAGGCCCCAACAGACCAAACCAAAATGGAGTCACTTGTGTTAAGTGCCACATAATCAAAACGTAAAGGAAGAAGAAAAATCCCTAAATAGACCAACTTTTCTAAAAACAAGAGATTCACAGCAACAAATTGGAAAGGGCCCAGTCAACCTGAGCATGATAAGAAAGTTTCTTCTGCTTTAATTCTTATAAGCAAAGTAACCTGATGTTAACCAAGTCACTTTTTTTGGTATTATTCTGTTTCATTGTTCCTGCTCAAGCTACCTTACAAAAACCAATGGTTCTGCTATGCCCAAGGAAGCTCTCTTTATTTTTAGATGGGATGCTGCCCAATTTATGAATAGCCAATAAAAGCCCATTAGATTTTTTATTACATTTGTTGAAATTTTGTTTTCCAACAGAGTAAATTTTTAGGTTTTATTTTACACAACTGGCTCAAATATTTTATAAGATGTTCACCAAAAGAGAAATTTGTTTAATTTAATTTTATTTTTTTTCCTTGAGATGGAGTCTTGCTCTGTCACCCAGGCTGGAATGCAATGGCTCAATCTCAGCTCATTGCAACCTCCGTCTCCTGGGTTCAAGTGATTCACCTGTCTCAGCCTCCCAAGTAGCTGGGATTACAGGCACCCACCATCATGCCTGGCTAATTTTTGTATTTTTGTAGAGATGGGGTTTCACCATGTTAGCCAGGCTGGTCTTGAACTCCTGACCTCAGGTGATCCACCCGCCTTGGCCTCCCAAAGTGTTGGGATTACAGGCATGAACCACCGCACCTGACAGTTTTTATTTCTTAAATATAGTCATGGGTTGCTATTGCAGGATCTGGCCAGCAGCCCGCAATGCAACGGGGCTCTCTCTTTGCTCCTAGGTGGATCGGCAGGTTGAGAAATAATAAACACACACAAGATAGTGAAAGCTGGGTCCAGGGGGGTCACCGCCTTCTGGTCCCGCGGTGCCAACAATGCACTGGATGTACCAGCATTTATTATTAAGTTTAGTGAGGGTCGGCGTAGGTTAGTGAGGGATTTAGGGTCATTTGATTATGAGGTGAGATGGTCACATGGGGATGAAGTAATTCTTTAACATAACATTTGTATGTAGAAGTACAGTACATTTGTATGTAGAAGTACAGTATACAGAGATAAGAATTTACAATATAGTTTGTGCATCAGTAATTTCTAACAGAGCCTTAAAGCAGAAACACAATCTTTCCATAAACTATGATTAGCAAGATACTAATCAGCAGTAACAATTGCAACAAAGGCTGGTTACAAACAATCCATGGAAACAGGACCTGAAGCCAGACAACTGATTAGACCAGAAATTCTCAGAAGGGAGTATGCCTTAACCCTAAAGAGGCCTAGAAGAGCCGCGGCAAGATGAGGGCGTTTATAGCCCTGTCTTATCCATATGGACAGGCGCCCCCCATGCATCCGTTTATAGGCTTTCCATGAGGGTTGCATTCCATTCCCAGAGCTATGAACATCTGCTTTTCTGGGATAGGAATCTTGGTGATGTGAAACCTCCCTAACTGCACATCCATTCATAGGCTCTCTGCAGGGGGAAGCACATCATGCACTGTTGGCTCATTCTGGCAGTCCAATGTGGCATTGTCTTTATACAATCCTGCATGCAATTTTGCATTTACAATAATCAGGAGCATTTCATCTTTTATTCCATAGCAGTAGTTTCAGGGGGTCTCCCTACAGGTTGCATAATGATGTTTCAGTCAATGACAGACCACATATACAACAGTGGTCCCATAAGATTATAATGGAGCTGAAAAATTCCTATTGCCTAATGATGCCGTGGCCATGAAGATGTCATAGAGTAACGCATTATTCACGTGTTTGGGGTGATGCTGGTGTAAGGAACCTACTACACTGCCAGTGGCATAAAAGTATAGCACATACAATTAGGTGTAGTATATAACACCTAATAATAATGATAATAATAAATTATGGTTACTGGTTTATTTATTTACTACACTATACTTTTTTTTTTTTTTGAGATAGTCTCACTCTGTCGCCCAGGCTGGAGTGCAGTGACTTGATCTCAGCTCGCTGCAAACTCTGCCTCCTGGGTTCAAGCAATTCTCCTACCCCAGCCTCCCAAGTAGCTGGGATTACAGGTGCCTGCCACCATACCCAGCTAATTTTTGTATTTTTAGTAGAAACAGGGTTTCACCATGTTGGCCAGGCTGGTCTCAAACTCCTGACCTGCCTGCCTTGGCTTCCCAAAGTGCTAGGATTACAGGTGTGAGCCACCACGGCTGGCCTACACTATACTTTTTATTGTTATTTTAAAGTGTACTCCTTTACTTATTTTTTTTATTATATTAAAATGTACTCCTTTACTATAAAAAAAAAGTTAACTGTAAAACAGTCTCAGACAGGTCTGTCAAGAGGTTTTTCAGAGGAAGGCACTGTTATAATAGGAGGTGACAGCTCCATGCCCATTACTGCCCCTTCAGACCTTCCAGGGGGACAAGCGGCAGAGGGGGAATACAGTGATATCAATGATCCTGACCCTGTGTAGGCCTAGGCTGATATGTGTGCTTGTGTCTTTGTGGTTAACAAAAGTTTAAAAAGTAAAAAATAAAATAAAAAAGAAAAAGCTTATAGAATAAGAAAATAAAGAAAGAACATATTTTTGTATAGCTGTACAACGGGTTTGTTTTAAGCTAAAAGTTATTACAAAAGAGTTAAAAAGTTAAAAAAATTATAAAGTTTCTGAAGTAAAAAAGTTACATTACCAGTAAACTGAGTTCTTCTCCTATTTTATATCAACCAAAATAACACCCAGTTGGAAAAGAGGCAAGCAGGTTTTATTCCTGGCCAGGAATGGAGGAGGGGCTCTCACTCTCAATGCCGCTTTTTCCCGATCAGTAGAGGCATGGGTTTTTTAAGGACTAAGTAGGCACGCAGCCTCCAGACACGCAGGCTCATTTCGTGCATATGTCTTCATACAATCCATGTCACAAAATGGTGGACATTTTCTTTTACAGAAGGGAATTTTAGCGTTACAGTGATATGTTAATGACCTAAAGGCAACTAGGGGGGTCATCTGTTCCAGTTTGTGCCAGTTTGGGGGATTCTGATCTTCCTTTGGTATCTGGTCAGGGGTCAAGAAACTCTGGCACCACCCCAGGCCATCTTATTTCTTTAAGCAGTTGTGTCTATAAATAGACTAAAGAAAAACAATAAGAAAAAGGAACTTTCCCAGTTAATTCATCAGGACTGAACTGGTAACAGTTAGAGTAAGCTGAGGTTAATTTATTTCTGAAGAAAGAAAAATTAGTTTTATAATTTAGTGTAGCCTACATGTACAGTGTTTATAAAGTCTACAGTAGTGTACAGTAATGCCCTAGGTATTGGGGGAACGCACCCCCAATATTTCAACATAGGTTCTTCCTATTTTCCATAAGTGTCAGCCAGCTGAGAAATAAAGAGAGATAGTACAAAGAGAGGAATTTTACAGCTGGGCCGCTGGGGGTGACATCACATATTGGTAGGGCCATGATGCCCGCCTGAGTCTTAGACCAGGAAGTTTTTATTAAGGGTTTCAAAAGGGGAGGGGGTGTAAGAACAGGGAGTAGGTACAAAGAACACATGATTCAAAAGGCAAAAAGCAGAACTACTAGTAAGAGTCCAACAAAGATCACAAGGCAAAAGGCAAAAGCAGAACTACCGATAAGGGTCTATATTCAGTGGTGCACATATTGTCTTGATAAACATCTTAAACAACAGAAAACAGGGTTCAAGAGCAGAGAACTGGTCTGACCACAAATTTACCAGGGTGGAGTTTTTCCCCACCCTAGTAAGCCTGAGGATACTGCAGGAGACCAGGGTGTATCTTAATCCTTATCTCAACCACATAGGACAGACATTCCCAGAGCGGCCGTTTATAGACCTCCCCCAAGGAAGGCATTCCTTTCCCAGGGTATTAATATTAATATTCCTTGCTAGGAAAAGAATTTAGCGACATCTCTCCTACTTGCATGTCCGTTTATAGGCTCTCTGCAAGAAGAAAAATATGGCTCTTTTTTCCCGACCTTATGGTTGTCTTCCCTTGTTCTATAAAAATCGCTGTTATTCTGTTCTTTTTCAAGGTACACTGATTTCATATTGTTCAGACACACATGTTTTATAATCAATTTGTACAGTTAACACAATTATCACAGTGGTCCTGAGGTGACATACATCCTCAGCTTATGAAGATAACAGGATTAAGACATGAAAGTAAAGACAGGCATAAGAAATTATATAAGTATTATTTGGGAACTGATATATGTCCATATTAAAATGAAATCTTCACAATTTATGTTCCTCTCTCATGGCTCCAGCCGGTCCTTCCATTCAGGGTCCCTGACTTCCCACAACATCTCTCCCTTTCTTTTTATATAAATGTGCCATGGCGATGAAGGCTTGTTCATTCTCTTAGTTTTGATGCAGGATTCTTTGACTGGTCTGGCACACTAAAAACAAGCCACTTAAACAGAGAAACATAATTCCAATGTTACTACAGTGGAGCCCCTAATAGACTTAATCCAAGTTGTGGGGTTTAGTCCATAAAGACTTTCTGCCACCTGATCTAACGTCTCAGCTCCAGGCACAATGGATAAATGAGCTTGAGAGGCTTCAAATATTTGTTTCTTTAATTTAGTTATGTCCAAGGATAAATTATCTTCCCTACCCAGAAGGTGTCCTTTGACCATTTCCCGTGAATGATCAATCTCGTAGGAATATGGTGTGATACAGAAATCAGAAGTATTCCAATCGCACTGCATTTGCATGCGATGTTTGAGACTCATTAGCCGATCTCCAAGCCAAATAACAGACTGTCTTAAATCATTAATTTGATTAGCTAATTTTTGACCAATGCCCTGTTGAGCATTCCACATTTGGGTGGAATTGGCTTGCCGATCATTAACAAAATGAGCCGTTTGAATAGATCGGTGTAATGCCACTCCGGCAGTGGTGGCCAGTGCAGTGACTAATTAGGCCCATGATCACAGCGATTAAAGTGAAAACAAATCTCTTAGATCTTTTGAGAATTCGTTGTTAACACTTCATTAATTAAATATACTGAGGGGGAAGATTCCCAAGGTCTGGGTAAAGTTACTGGTATCCAGATTCTTTCTTGAGCTCAAAGCAACATTACACTTTTCCTGGAGTCAAAATGGGGGTTAACACAAGTGTATAAATGACAATGCATTGGACAGTTTGATTGTTTGTCCAAATTTTGATATTTCCCACTAACAGCATGTAAGAAGGCTTAACACAATTCTATATAGGAATAGTCAGGCTGGAGGTAAACAAAGCAGAATGTCTGAATCTACATTGATACTGAGGGAGAGGAGCGGCAGTGGCAACGCCCGATGTTCTCTGCTGTAAAGAAGCAATCCAAGGTGCCCGGGGATGCCAAAGAGGTAGAGGGGCATAACTGGGCTGAGAAGAATTATCATAATGCCAACTGGAGTCCCATAAAGGGGGATCAGCATCAAAACGAGGAAGAGGGTTCAAAGGGGATTTATCATGGGGTTCAGAATCACGGATGCGAGGGGCGGTAGTGGGGACAACAGACAGAAAAGTTTCCCCTTCCCAGAGTGCATTTCTCTGACTTCTCCTGGGACAAACCTGAGAAAAATTTTCTGCTTTCAAAAACTCATGTGATTTGGTTTGGCTCACCACGATAATCTCCCTTTTTAAAAGTCAACTGTGTCATATAACATACCCTCATCCCAGGGCAAAATCCATGCTATTCACAGTCATTGGGATTATGCAGGGCATGTACACCAGGAAAAAGTAGTCTTGGTGCCATCTTAGAATTCTGCTGGCCACACATTGTTTCACTACAACCGTTATCAGAGGGACAGCAATATCCAAGGAGCAGGAGAAGCAAGAGAGCTCTAAAAAAGAGACCGAGAAAATCAGCCAAAGAAGTCAGAGAAAAACTGGGAGGAACTGAAAAATACAACCTCCTCACATGAGAGGCCTTCTAGCTGATGATTAAGACCATGGATACTGTAGCTGAACTGACAACTCCACCATTTATTCCTTGG
This sequence comes from Homo sapiens, assembly GCF_000001405.40. NCBI lineage: Eukaryota > Metazoa > Chordata > Mammalia > Primates > Hominidae > Homo > Homo sapiens. The sequence continues at coordinate 87,296,263 of NC_000004.12, forward strand.
CTGTGTGGCCTTGGATGACAAGGTATTGACACTTTACAGTTGCTTATCTTTAAATTGTAGCCAGTTGAAATCCCTACCTCACAGGATTTTTTGTGATGATTAAATGAGTAAATGGATGTAAGGTTTGTAGGAAAGTGTATCAGAGAATAATAAGCCCTCTATATGTGTTTGCCAATGTTTGAAAGGATTAAATCCCTTTTATATCATATTGATTAATGGAGCATATAATTTCTATTCTCATTGGACCTTTAAAGATTCTTTTTATATCACCAGTTTCCGCCTAGCATCGCTCTGGAGATGTACAAGGGGCTTAGTAAAGGTTGATAGAAACAAACCAATTATGTAATCATAAATAATGCAATAGATGAATATAATACAATTATATGTAGCCATTAAGATTAAGAATAACTTAGGTGGTATGGTTCTTTTTAAAAATTTAAACATTGGCAGGGCCTGGTGGCTCAGGCCTGTAATCCCAGCACTTTGGACGGTCAATGGGAGGACGGCTTGAGCCCAGGAGTTAGAGACCAGCCTGGGCAACATGACAAGATCTCATCTCTACAAAAAAAATACAAAAAATTAGCTGGTCTTGGTGGTGTGCACCTGTGGTCCCAGCTACTCAAGAGGCTGAGGTGCAAGGACTGCTTGAGCCTAGGAGGTCGAGGTTGCTGTGAGCTGTGATGTAGCCACTGCACTCCAGCCTGGCAAAAGAGCAAGGCCCTATCTAAAATAAATAAATAAATAAATAAAATTTAAACGTTTAAAAATTATGGGCCAGGCATGGTGACTATGCCTGCAATCCCAGCACTTTGGGAGGCCAAGATGGGCAGATCCCCTGATGTCAGGAGTTTGAGACCTTGAGACCAGCCTGGCCAACATGGTGAAACCCTGTCTCTACTAAAAATACAAAAAAAATTAGCCAGGCATGGTGGCAGGCACCTGTAATCCCAGGTACTCGGGAGGCTGAGGCAAGAGAATCATTGAATCCCTGAGATAGAAGTTGCAGTGAGCCAAGATCGTGCCACTGAAATCCAGCTTGGGTGACAGAAAAGGATTGCGTCTTGAAAAAAAAAATTATGGTGAAATATACATAATATAAAGTTTACCATTTTAACTATTTTTAAGTGTAAAGTTCAGTAGTATCAACTACATTCATATTTTGCAGCCATCACCACCATCCATCTCTACAACTTTTTCAACTTCCTAAACTGACACTCTGTACCCATTAAATAATAACTCCCCATTCTCCATTCCCCTCAGCCCCTGAAACTACCATTCTACTTTCTGTCTCTGTGTATTTGATCACTCTAGATACCTCGTATGAGTGGGATCATACACTATTTATACTTTGTACTTTTGTGACTAGCTCATTTCACTTAGCATAAAGTCCTCAAGGTTCATCCATGTTGTAGCATGGTGTCAGAATTTTCCTCTTGTTTAAAGCTGGATAGTATTCTACTGTATGTATATGCCACATTTTGTTTATCCATTCATCCATTGATGGATATTTGGGTTACTTCCACTTTTTGGCTACTGTGAATAATGCTGCTATGAATGTGGGTGTACCAATATCTATTTGAGTTTTCTTTTCAATTCCTTTGGGTATATACCCGGAAGTGAAATTGCTGGATCATATGGTAATTCTGTTTACATGCAATGGTTATTTTAATATTGTATCTTGCCCCCCTTATATTTAGTTCAAAATCTGAGAACTCATCACTATGCTGTACTCTCTTATTGCCTCAAGACTTGTGCACTTTATAATTTTAGATACTCTTGTAAGCACTGGAAATCCTTTCTGAAATAAAGGTGGGTAGAAAGTAATCAATAAATACCAGCTATAATATGTTAACTTCACTTTTTCCATGGTCAATAATAGATAATCTATACATAACTATTAAATACATGGCTCAGATAAATGTACTTATAGCAATTTGAAATTTTGCATGGTTTTATATTGTGACTGTATATATGCCTGTATTGTGAAATTTAATAGCATACATATATTTATCTTTATTTATAAATTGGTTATTTTATAACTTACTATTTTCTTCTGTGCTCTATCCTCCACTTCAGTGCTAGTTTTGTCTTTCTCAACCACAGATCTGATCTCGTTGGTTTTATGTACTCTACTCTTGCATGGCTTGCCTCAATAAAATCCAAATCTGTCAACATGTTTTTTGAAACTCTGTACTGTTGGGCCCCAAACATCTTTTCCAAGCTGTTATTCCCCCAGATTCCCAGGTGCATGATCCATGTTGACCCTGGATGACTTACCATGCTACAAACGCACAACTTGTAAAACATTTTGTACCAACATGCATGTTTGTTCCCTGTGGCATATTCTTGCACCTCCTCCTCTTTAATATCTTTAATTGCATCTCCTCAGCAAAGATTTGCCCTGTCACCCAAATTAATCATGCTGTCTATTCACAAAGCACTTGGTTAGTAACTTTTCAAAGGGACTAACCCTATTTTTCTTTGAGTGAGTTGTTATTTACAAACAGGCTGGATTAGCTGATCTGTTGTAAACATCTTTAAAGCAAGGATCACATCTTCCTCTCTGATTTTTCTACATTCTAGCATCATGTATTTCCTATCAAAGTTGCCGAGTGAATATCTTTTCTTGAATGAATTGTAGAAAAAGCCTTGTTTTGGCTTGAAAAAGTCTATGAGTTGTTGTAGTTTATCTTGAATATTTCTACATTAAATTCACCAGCATAGAAAATAATACTCTCAAATGTGCAATATTGTTAGATAACAAGGTACACTGGAACTGCAATATTGTTTGAAATATTTAAATCACATCATTCCAAATTGAATTCAACATCAAGTGGTCTTTTTTTTTTTCCTGCTACATAGGTAATACAGGATAGTTTTGATGACTGAAAAATAGGCTATGTTTCCAGACTAGATTAGAATGTGGGGAGAAGCTTAGAAAGAGAAGGCTGAAAAGAGAAAGAGAACAATGGAAGAGAAGTAGAGAACTAAATGCATCAAATTAATTGAACGAAGTCTGAACTAATTAGTAAAGAGCCATCAGAAGGAAAGAGGTGTTGAGAAACAGAAAGTCAAAAAATCCAGGGCTGGGTGCAGTGACTCACGCCCATAATCTCAGCACTTTGGGAGGCCGAGGCGGGCTGATCACTGGAGGCCAGGAGTTCGAGACCAGTCTGGCCAACATAGTGAAACCCTGTCTCTACTAAAAGTACAAAAATTAGCTGGATGTAGTGGTGCATGCCTATAAACCCAGGTACTCAGGAGGCTGAGGCTGGAGAATCCCTTGAACCCGGGAAATGGAGGCTGCAGTGAGCCAAGATCACACCACTGCACTCCAGCCTGGGTGACAAAGTGAGACTCTGTCTCAAAAAGAAAAAAAAAAAAGTGAAAAATCCTAGTTATTGGAATTAGGTATGGGAACAGGCAATTTGGTTTTCAGTGTTGTTTGGGAATATTTAAGTCTTAATTTATACAAGTTAGCCTCACATTTAAAAGTAAGAAGATCTCTATTGAGATAATGGATCATTACTGGAGTGCAATTGGTAAATGACTTCACTTTTCATAAGTGTTTTGATGTGAATTTATGAATATTCTCTAGCTGCTCACTGGGTTTGTGAAGTTAGTTTGAATGAGACATGATTGCACCCTAGGCAAGTCAGAATGTACTTGCTTTGATTTCACTGTGATTACTTTTACTATAAAAGATTCCCATTAAATACAAGTAAGTTCCCACTTAACTTTCCTGTAATTCCACCCTTGCTGCAAGCAGCTGACAGGCAAATTTGATCAGATGTAATACATCCAATCAGATAAAGAAGGGGTTTCAGCAAAACACTTGGCAGATTTGAAGAGCTGAATAGAAAAGGTCATGAGCTGTCTGAAAACTTTTAGACACAAGAGGAAGCAAATAGTAGAAAGCGTGAGAGCACTCTTAGGACAGGGATTGGCATTTCCCCCTTACGGTTTCTCACGTAATTTGTGAAGACATAAACACAAGGGTAACTGTTAAATTCGTTGTAATTATCACATGTACAGAACAGCCCAGTTCACATAATGCTGCACTAAATTCAAAGTTAGTGTTATAAAAAAAGATGCCTCTAAAACATATGAATTACCTAGGAGTTTTTAAAAAATGCAGATTCTGATTTTGTAAGTTTGAGATGGGTTGCAACAGTTTGTATTTCCAACATGCCTCTCATGCGGCAGCCATGCTGCAAGGGCATGTTTAAACTTCCCCATTTACACAGGCCATGAGCCCCGAAACACCCATCAGCAATCCTGGGATGGGTGTTTCGGGGCTCATGGCCTGTGTAAATGGGGAACTTTAATGTTAGATGTTCATTCCATCTTTGGAAACATTATTATATAGATCATATAAGATTTAGATTAGAAACTAACCAAGCATTTTCTCTTCAACCATACATTTACTCTGCTACTCCTTTAAGCTTTGCATACAGTTGAAGATTGGCTGTACCTATACCACCCTCAGATCTGAGCAAGTGAGGGCCTTACCCCAGTCCTGTGCCTCATAGAGCCTTATTCTTTGGAGTGCCCTCTATGAAATTTTCCAAGTCCTCTTCGGATGCCTGCTCTGTTTTTTCTCTCTGGGGTACTCTCCCTTTCTCTCCCTGTGTATAAGGTTGACCAGATATCCTGGGGAGCTCTGCAACTTGTAACTATAGGATCATCCTGGGGTCTTGTTTCCAGGCTTTCGTTTCAGGAGGGTGGCCTGGAGAGCAGACTGCTACTTCTGGTTGGCAAAGAATTTCTTTTGCAGGATTACATGAAATTTGGCTGCCAGAATGATGCTGACATGCTGATTTTGGATAATTCTCACTCACATTGGGCATAGATCTAATTTAGGGTTGTAAGCTATCTAAGGTCCACTGCCCAAGCCGCATGTGTTGACCCATGCATCCACTCGCAGTTTGTTCTGAGTATGATGCCACTTCTGCTATATAACATCCAAGGGCTGCAGGGTGACATCAGATGTCCTTACCCCGCTTGCCAATGGCATTCAGGAAAATCATCCTATCCCCTCTGCAGGTTCTATGCCATGGGTCAGGCAGTCCTTTTGGCTGGGGGTTGGGGGGTGGCTGCACTTATCTCTTCTGAGGGCTTTTAAGACTATTGCTTCTTCACAACAGTGGGCCTTTCTGACTGATGTGATGATGCTGTGTTCTCTTCTCCCTGGTCAATGTTAAGCTCTCCTAGAGGAGGGACAGACATTCCTTGTGCAAATGGGGCTGTTCATTTTGTTCTGTCCACAATCCCCTCTCTGCTGCTGGTGGTGTGTGGGAGGTAGGGTACGGTCAGGAGTGGCAGAGATCAATTCTAGAAATGTAATGATGATGGCCTAAAAAGTTCAAGACAAGACACAGTTGAAAGATGTGTTGTTCTATGTGATGCTATAACATTCTAAATGATAAATTTAAAATGAGCAATAAACAACGAATCATTCATGTTTTCTCGTATATATACCCTGGGTAAGACTTGAATTTGTGATTATCATCAAACATTGTACCAGTAACAATTGTACTATATTGAACTGTGTTGTACCAGTAACAATCTTTGAGTGATTGTCTCTGAGTGATACCCAGTATTCATGGGTAGCACAATGGATGATGCAATGTCAAAAGGCATAATGTAGCTAAGATTAAATAAATGGTAGCAGGGTATTGGAAAGGGGTGAAGATTCATATTATTTTATTACAAACATATTACAAAGAGCCATGGCATTATGAATAATAACAGCATTGCTACCCTTTCTTGTGGTAAAAGATATGAAATTAGCTAGGAATGGCTCATTTGATAAAAAAGAAATGATTCCTGGACCAAAGAGATAGTACCAGGATGCCGAGAAGAATCTTTACATGTACTGCTCGGACAATAAATACACAAATCTTCCTATTATTCTAAATCTTTATCAAAAAATCACTATACTGCATGCACATGGACCTATAAATTTTATAAAGCATTTTTAATAAAAGTGTTTATATAGATAGAAGCCCTGCAAAAAAATATTTGTCTGGTGATCTGCACATCCTAGCAGTAGCCCTTGGAACTGGGATTTTGGTGAAAGAGAGGGCTCTTAGAGAGAATTATAGATGAAGATTGTCATAGGAAAACATTTGGAAGCTCAGGTGGAGCTTTTTATTTTTTTGAGACGGAGTCTCACTCTGTTGCCCAGGCTGGAGTGCGGTGGCGTGATCTTAGCTCACTGCAACCTCCGCCTCCCAGGTTCAAGTGATTCTCCTGCCTCAGCCTCCTGAGTAGCTGGGATTACAGGCATGTACCACCATGCCCAGCTAAATTTTGTATATTTAGTAGAGACAGGGTTTCGCCTTGTTGGCCAGGCTGGTCTCGAACCCCTGACCTCAGGTGATCTGCCCCCCTTGGCCTCCCAAAGTGCTAGGATTACAAGCATGAGTCACCACGCCTGGCTGCAGGTGGAACTTTTAAGGAGGAGGACTACACTCAAAATAAGCAAGAAAAATGGACAAAGAGAGATGAATATTTTGCTCGCACATTTCTCTGAGCTTCATTCATAAAAGATTAAAACCAAAATGGAATTAAAATAAGAAGTTTTCTGCTCTGAACTTAACACTGGAATTTAAGAGGTTTCTATTTTTGTCAATATGTATATCATAAAATATTTTTTAGTTGCCTGTGTATGGTAATAGTTCGTCCGCAAAATGTTCTTTCTCAGCGTGCTCTTCCCTGACTCTACTACTTTAAATGCTCTCTCTCATATTTGCAGTCCCTTTATTGTTTGTCCCACCTACTAGAATGTGAGCTCTGTTAAGACAAGGAGTTTGCCTTATTCATATATGTTTCCCTGGGCCTAGAACTTTGAGGGCACTCAGTATTTGTTAAATTAATATTTAAATAGATGAACTAAGAAATACTGGAAACATCCTAAGTGCCTATCAAAAGGGAATGGTTAGAGTACCATTTTAGTACTGTGTACTCATGAAAAAAAGTTGAATTCTCTATACTGAAACAAACAGCTGTTTGTGATAAGTTGGTAAGCTAAAAGAGCAAGTTACAGAACATAATGTATGGTATGAAACTACTGATACGACCCATGCAATAAGAATATAATGTATTTGTCATGAACATGCATCAGTAAAAGACTGGAAGATTGTGCATTGACAGTGTGACCTCTGGGAAATGGGATTGCTGGGGGTAAGCTTCTATTTTTTACTTTCCATGTTTCTCTTTTGAATTTTTGTAACCATACTTTAAAAATAATACATTTTACTCATAAATTTCTTGATTATAAGGCAAGAAATTAAAAGAATGTTATGAAAAAAATTATTGCCGGTGACTAAGAAAAAAAATTAGAAACAATAGCACTGTGCTTAATCTCACACATAGAAAGGGGTCAGTAAGTTCCAGTTGATAAACCAGCACTCCTGCTGTCAAAGAAACCAGAGTTGAGAAAACCCCTGGATTCATTTAATAACTGCCAGATGTAGCTGTTACCATCCACATCCTTGGTTCTTGAAGGACACTCATAGAGACAGAGTTTAGAAGTCAAACGTTTTATTTTATAACTACAAGAGGTTATTTTTTTAAAGCACAATGACATATTTATTTTTAGTGAATTGTTTTTGTGACTTTTAAAAAAATCATTTGTTTTTAATAAAAACAAGAGGATAGTCCATGCAAAAGCATTCTATAATACATGTGAAAAACACACAAAACAAGATTAGTCTTGATGTAGTGGGAGTCGGATTATTTTTTCTATTAAAAAAAAAAAGGCTGGGCACGGTGGCTCACACCCGTAATCCCAGCACTTTGGGAGGCCGAGGCAGGTGGATCACGAGGTCAGGAGATCGAGACCATCTTGGCTAACATGGTGAAACCCCGTCTCTACAAAAAATACAAAAAATTAGCCGGGTGTGGTGGCGGGCGCCTGTAGTCCCAGCTACTCAGGAGGCTGAGGCAGGAGAATGGCGTGAACCCGGGAGGTGGAGCTTGCAGTGAGCTGAGATCATACCACTGCACTCCAGCCTGGGCGAAAGAGTGAGACTCCATCTCAAAAAAACAAAAAACAAAACAAAACAAAACAAAAACCAAAAAACCTTTCTTTCTTCCTTTTCTTCTCTTGGGTCCATTGTTTCTTATGTAATAGCCAGTACAGTTCCTTTTCCTGTGTTAGCTTTAATTTTTGAGCCTAAAATTGTCTAAACATCTCTGGGACCAAGGATATATGAAAGCATAAATTACAAAGAAAAAGGTTATCATGGGGCTAGAACTTAAAATTCTGAGATTTAAAATAGAGTCGGTCACCTTTCATAATGTATCTTATAAGACTATAAAAAGGGAGGAAATATAGAGGGTCCACTTTTGGTGGACTTCAGAGTTATACAGAAGACAGAATCAAGTAATAAAGTCCAGAATAGAGTTGCACCGTTTTGGGCTAATGAAAAAGGAAGAGGCTAGGGAAATCTTTCAAATGCTGAATCTTAAAATATGTCCAGGTTGAGATAAAGCTGCCTGCTGAAACTTGATCTCTTAGCTGTGCACTCATTCTGTGTTCTTGTTGATATTCTGTGGCATGGCTACAGATTGGAATGCTACTTGAACAGTCTTAAACCTTCCCTGTGTAAATAAGTTCTCTTTGTATTTACTTTTAGGGAGGTAGCTTTTGTCCACCTTTAAATGGAAAAATAAAATATCTTAAAGAAAACCTTTTAAGTATGTTTATGTAAGCACAGAAGTTTTTAAGAGGCATGAAAGGAAAAACAGACCTATGAAAAACTACGTAAATATTCTTGAGAAACAGGAAGACAGGTAATTAATCTTGTTCGTTTGACTGCTGCTAGTGCCAAACCAATGTTTTTAATATTATCAGGACTGAAAAAATGTGAAATAAAGCTTTGCAGCATTGATTCGAAACTATTCATATCATTATCATGCATACATCTCTGGCTGGAGCTTATTTATTCATTTCATTTTGATTTTGTGGCCAACCACTGCTTCAAATTGAATATTCTGCATACGATTTAAAATCGCTGAGGCGCGTTCAGGAAGAAACCTGTACAAAAAAGAAAAAAAAATTGAAAAATTTTCCATTTAAAATCTTTGACAACAGAGTTCTGTTTTTGGTCATTTAGAATACGCTGAGAGTTATCTGGTTTGCGTTTAACTTTCCTCCGTTCTTTTCTTCTCTTGCAACCACCTCTCTTTTACGTGTGCATCTTTCTTTTTCTTTTTTTTTTTTGACATAACTTCATAGTGGACTTCATTAGGAAAAGTGTAAAAACATTCAAATTCATAAAATTGAAATGAGACAGTAAAATTATGCCTTGTGGCTATAGTAATTGCTATAGTAATCACAAGTAAGGTAAAGTCTAAATTATTGCCTGAACACAGAGGTTGCAGTGAGCCGAGATCACGCCATTGCACTCCAGCCTGGGCGACAAGAATGAAACTCCATCTCAATAAATAAATAAATAAATTATTGCCTAAACAAACACTATTTTGTCAGGCTTCTGCTGCAAGCCCAAGGCAGAAAACATTGCAGTTATTAGAAGTCAGCCCAATTATGAATCTGCATTTGAAGCTGGAAGAAAGGGGAAAAAGTGTGTTCTGATTACAGCATCAAGACATTCTAGCCTGCAAAACAGTAACTTTATTAACGTCTTGCAGCGGAGTACGTTAATAATCGTAACCATGCATTAAAACTCTCATTTCATGTCAAAAAGAGAGTAATCAGTTTTCCTCATGATTTATGTTTTACTGAATTTCATACAGTTCGTCCCTCTGAAAATGTTTTTAGGAACATTCCCTCTCCAAGGAGTGCATCTTAAGATACCCAGGTTGCTTACGACAGGTCATCTTTGGTCATTTTAAATCAATCTGTCTGAACCTATGTGTGCACCTTTGTAATATTCATAGTTCAAATTGGATGCAAATATAAATAAAGCACTGATACATACCACTCTTCTCACTCTCTTATCTGATATGAGTAAAGATCTAAAACTGAAGGTCTGAGCTCATTGCTGAAACTGCTGATTAATCTTGATGCTAAAAGCTCACCAAGAGACACCACCAGAATCCATTCTATGCAAGCCTTCACCTCTCCTTTACTATTTACTGAATATCTATTATGCACTCTATAATAAGGTAAACTAAAGTACTTGAAAAATAGCTATTGTCTTTGATATTGTTTAGCTGATAGGCTAAAATGGTCATCTTAAAACAATTATTGAAAAATATCAGCCATCTAGAATTAAGGGCTATAACTGGAAGGAGGATTCACATGGGCTGGGATAGTGGAGGAAAGCTTCAAAAGGACAACTGATGTCCAGGAATGCATAAGAGATGAGTAGGCAACTGAAAGGAAGAGAGTGGCTGGCCCGGTGGCTCACGCCTGTAATCCCAGCACTTTGAGAGGCACAGGTGGTCAGATCATGAGGTCAGGAGTTCGAGACCAGCTTGACCAACATGGTGAAACCCTGTCTCTACTAAAAATACAAAAAAACTAGCCAGGTGTGGTGGCACATGCCTGTAATCCCAGCTACTCAGGAGGCTGAGGCAGGAGAATTGCTTGAACTCAGGAGGTGGAGGTTACAGTGAGCTGAGATCAAGCCACTGCACTCCAGCCTGGGCAACAGAGTGAGACCCAATCTAAAAAAAAAAAAAAAAAAAAAAAAAAAAAGGAAGACAGTATGTGAATGTAAAGAGGCAGAAATAATAACATTCTGCAGAGAAAGTCATATTGAAAATCACTTTGGTATTGTTGACTAATGCAAGATTTACTTCCTTGTTTTGGGGGTAGGTGGGTGAAAGATGGAATGAGCAAAGGGGCAGGGAAGATCTGGCTGAAAGAAGGACAAGGATAAGAAGAGAGCTCATGTGGGCCTTTTAACTACCCTCACAAAGAAACCTTCATGCTAGTAATTGCATCTGCTCGTAAAATTGTGTCTCTCTATAAAAGGAATTAAATGCAAAGAAGATTAACAATATATACCTGTTGCCTAGTTACAAACCACCATGACAGCTTCAAAGGATACAAAAGACTTTGAGACTCTTGTTTATTTTACTGGGATACTATTCTCCAACTCAGGCAGAATAATTGTTTTTATCACCTTGGTCATATGCATGTATATGCATGTAATTTTCAATATTAATATGACTTGCTTTGGGCCCCAAGAGAGTTGGGGTTCCATGAAACTCACTTCCTACAGTGCTTAGTACCAAGACACTAATTTAGTCAACTTTTATTTTTTTTCATTTTTTTAAAAAATTTATTTTTCCGAGACAGAGTCTCCTGTTGCCCAGGCTGGAGTGCAGTGGCACAATCATGGTTTACTGCAATCTCCGCCTTCCGGGTTCAAGGGATTCTCCTGCGAGTGCCTGGTATTACAGGTGCAGGCCACTATGCCTGCTAATTTTCGTATCTTTAGTAGAGCTGAGGTTTCACCATGTTGGCCAGGCTGGTCTCGAATGCCTGACCTCAAGTGATCTGCCTGCTGTGGCCTCCCAAAGTGCTGGAATTACAGGCGTGAGACACCACACCCGGCCTAGTCAACTCGCGAGATGATGTTGCTTGGGGGTCAAGGTTCTCCTTATGTTATCTCAAGTCAGTCTATTTAAGCTAAAACCAAATACTGAAATTGATACACCAATGCAGTTTGTACCCTGTTCTCAAATTGTTCTATTTCAAGTTTGTTCATAGTTTATATGGATTTGTTTCAAAAAGGCCCAAGGCTTATGAAGTTAGTATAGTTATCTTCTCACTGATACAATTTCAATTTAGAAACTGCTCCTCAGAAGAAAGCTGAGAGAGTATTTCCTCTGGGAAATTGTTGCTGTTGCTATTTCATATAAATTCTGTTCTCTAAGACTTTAACATTTGAAGTCTATACATTTTCAGTGACAGGGGCTTTGTTTGTATTACATTATTTTATTCTTATGTCATCCTTATAAAGAAGATATTATCAGCATATTCATTTGGCCAGGTGCAGTGGCTCATGCCTGTAATCCCAGCACTTTGGGAGGCCAAGGCAGGAGGACTGCTTGAGGCCAGGCATTCAAAACCTTTGTTGCCTGGGCAGCAAAGTGAGACTGTCTCTACTAAATAAATAAATAGGCTGGGCTTGGTGGCTCACGCCTGTAATCCCAGCACTTTGGGAGGCTGAGGCGGGCGGATCACCAGGTCAGGAGATCGAGACCATCCTGGCTAACAGGGTGAAACCCCGTCTCTACTAAAAAAAAAAAAAAAAAAAAAAAAAAAAAAAAAAAAAAAAAAAAAATAAGCTGGGCATGGTTGCAGGCGCCTGTAGTCCCAGCAACTAGGGAGGCTGAGGCAGGAGAATGGCATGAACCCAGAAGGCGGAGCTTGCAGTGAGCCAAGATTGTGCCACTGCACTCCAGCCTGGGCAACAGAGCGAGACTCTGTCTCAAAAAAATATAATAAAAATAAATAAATAAATAAATAAGACATTCTAAAGACATTAAAAGGATAATAAGGGAATGTTATGTACAAATTTATGCCAAAGAAATTCTACAACTTAGATGAAATGGACAAATTCCTTGAAAGACACACATTACCAAGAATTAATAAGTAAATTGAATAGCCATGTAGCTATTAAAGAAATTAAATTTGTAATTAAAAACTTTCCCATAAAGAAAATTAGAGGCCCAGGAATCTACCAAAAAAAAAAAAGCTTATCGAGTTTAGCAAAAAGAGGTTTAGCAATTTAGCAAGACTGCAAAATATGAGATCAAATTACAAAAATCCAATATATACTGACAACAAACAATGGGAAATATAAAATTTTTTAAAATGCCACTTGCATTAGCGTCAAAAACCGTCAAATAGGGCTGGGCATGATGGCTCATGCCTGTAATCCCAGCACTTTGGGAGGCTGAGGCAGGTGGATCACATGAGGTCAGGAGTTCGAGACCAGCCTGGCCAACATGGTGAAACCCTGTCTCTACTACAAACACAAAAAGTTAGTTGGGCGAGGGGGCAGGTGCCTGTAATCCCAGCTACTTGGGAGGCTGAGGCAGGAGAATCACTTGAAGCCAGGAGGCAGAAGCTGCAGTGAGCCAAGATCACGCCACTGCACTCCAGCCTGGGCAACAAGGGTGAAACTCTGTCTCAAAAAAAAAAAAAAAAAAAAAAAAAAGAACCCGTGAAATACTTTGGAATAAATCTGACAAAATATGTGCAAGACTTAAACACCAAAAACTACAAAATACAATTTAAAGATTTAAAGATTTTGAAGAAGATTTTAAAAATAGATATTATGTTCTTGGATTAGAAAACTCAATATTGTTGATATGTCAATACTCCCCAATTGCTCTATAGATTCAGTGCAATCCCAACCAAACTTCCAGCAGACTTTTAAAAATGGAGTCTTTATTATTAACTACTTCACTATATTGCATTCTTTTTAAACTGTGTTTCCTTTAGTTAGAATAGTCTTCAGCAAAGTTTGGGCAGAGACAGTAGATTTGGTAGAGAAAATGAATCACTCTCTTTTTATAGACTGGGTAGGAAAATAACAGAGGAAATAACTGTTCTCCCCAGGGATGGAGAGTTTCCATGCCAATTTTCACAACTGAAAGATGCTCCATAATAATAGCTCTATTGGGCCAGGCATGGTGGCTCATGACTGTAATCCCAGCACTTTGGGAGGCCGAGACAGGAGGATAACTTGAGGTCAGGAGTTCGAGTCCAGCCTGGCCAACATGGGGAAACCTGTCTCTATCAAAAAATACAAAAATTAGCTGGGTGTAGTGTGGCAGCACACACCTATAATCCCAGTTACTTGGGGGTCTGAGGCATGAGAATTGCTTGAACCCAGGAGGCGGAGGTTGCAGTGAGCCAAGATCATGCCACTGCAACCACCGCAATCCAGCCAGGGTGACAGAGTGAGACTCTGTCTAAAAAAAAAAAAAGCAAAAAAAAAAGCTCTATTGGTGTTTTAGTATTTGGGTGTTCTGTGCTGTACTTACTTCTGTAGTCTCAGAAAGATATTGATATACGATGGAACAAAAATCATTTTCTTATTGGTAAGTATTCCATCTATCAGACTTCTTACGACTTCATCTGTCTCCAATACAGGCCATAATCTGTGATTAAAAAGAGGAAAATATTATTTTTATTTTCTAAAATTTTAATTTTATAAGTAAATGATGGCAGGAAAATTATCCTATATTTTTACTAAATTTAGAATGAAGATTTAAAATATTCCAGGATTTGCTGCATTAATGCCACCCTACCCACTTCCTCCACATCCCATGTTGATGTTTTGTTATCAGAAACTTATACTTTCATATCCAGTAGGTGTGTTTCATAGCTCACTTAGTCAAAATATCAAAATGGTGGCGAGGCATTAGATGGTAAGGAGTAGTGGAGCCAGACAAGAAAGAGGAATGGCTAGGATTAATCATGGGACAGGAAGGAAACATCTGACATCTCAAAGCCTGTTGGATGCAAGGAGAAAATTCTATAGCTAAGTATACTTTCTTTCTTGTGGAGGTATTCCATAAAGCTGGATTGTTTTGAGGTCGTCATTTTGTCAGAGGCGTTTAAATCAGAGCAACTCCATCTTGAATAGGGTCTGGGTAAAATAAGGCTGACACCTACTGGGCTGCATTCCCAGGAAGTTAAGGCATTCTTTGTCACAGGATGAGATAGGAGGTTGGCACAAGATTCAGGTCATAAAGACCTTGTTGATAAAATAGGGTGCAGTAAAGAAGCCGGCCAAAACCCACCAAAACCAAGATGGTGATGAAAGTGACCTCTGGTTGTCCTCACTGCTCATTATAAGCTAACTATAATACATTAGCAAGCTAAGAGACACTTCCACCAGCACTATGACAGTTTACAAATACCATGGCAATGGCAGGAAGTTACCCTATATGGCCTAAAAAGGGGAGGAAATCTCAGTTCTGGGAATTGCTCACCCTTTTCCCGGAAAACTCATGAATAATCCACCCCTTGTTTAGCATATAATCAAGAAGTAACTCTAAATACCCTTGGTGGAGCAGCTCAAGCCATTCTTCTCCATGGAGTAGCTGTTCTCTACTCCTTTACTTTCCTAATAAACTTGCTTTTGCTTTGCACTGTGGCCTTGCCCCGAATTATTTCTTGCGAGAAATCTAAGAACCCTCTCTTGGGGTCTGGATTGGAACCCCTTTCCGGTAAGAATTTCGTATTTGAGATTCACCTCTGACTTGCCTATCCTGCAGTTTAATGAGAATTTAAGAGGGGCCCAAGGAGTATGACAACTGGAGGTATGTCATACTTCCAGTTTTCCTTATACTGAAGGCTGTGTACATGTACTCTTGAGAAATATTCATAAACATAGGCTTAGTGTAGAATTGTCTGTTAGTGCAAGATGATGACAGAAAAATGGATTTAAAATGTTGTATTCAAATTAAGATGTCCAGGCATGGACTGAACAGCCAGTGAATGTAAAGGCTGGGTGAGGAGTTAGGGAGCCAGCGAATGTTAAAACTTCATTCCCTGGGATGATCTGTGGTTTGCTGCAGATTATTATGTGATTGAGTTCTCCACTGCCTTGAATAGCAAGCCAACAGAGAGTAATACAAATCAATACATTTCTAAATTACTCCGTTCTGCCCTTTCTCTCCCTGATTTCATCTACATGGATCCAACAACCCAGCCTCGGAGCCAAGTGTGACATTACATATCAATGCCTTAGCCCTTACTAAGGAAATTCACAATCTAGCAACCTCTATAAAATCAATCCCAAATATTTAGCATTGCCTGTGTCTACCTCTAAGTTAGCCCCCAGGAACCCTGTACCCAGAGTTCCATTATCCTTACTCCCCTCATCTATCATGCCTTCCCCAAGAGTGGCAGGATACCCTTAGGAAAGCTCATGGTACACGAAGCCTGAATGCCTACCAAGAGGGTTTTTATTGGGCCCAATTCCTTGTCTAAGAAAACAATCAGGAGTTGCAATAGTACTATAGTATTTACTTACATATTGCATACTTATTAAGTACTGTGAGACAACGTAGCAAATGTAAGAAGCCACGTTTACTCACTTCTGGTTGTCAGCATAATTTCACAAAGTCCCTGACTCTGTGACAATGTGCAGCTCTCTGGAAAGATGCTTTGAAGACAATACAGGATAGAGCACATGGCCCCCACTATCAGAACAGTTCAACTGAACCTCTCTAAAGGGCTGCTCTCAGGCTATAGGCCTCCGACTGTAGTCTTCAGTAAGGCTTCTAAATAAAATTAACACCTTTAATTCTTTTTTTTTTTTTTTTTTTTTTTTTTTTTGAGACGGAGTCTCGCTCTGTCGCCCAGGCTGGAGTGCAGTGGCGCGATCTCGGCTCACTGCAAGCTCCGCCTCCCGGGTTCACGCCATTCTCCTGCCTCAGCCTCCCGCGCAGCTGGGACTACAGGCGCCCGCCACCACGCCCGGCTAATTTTTTTGTGTTTTTTAGTAGAGACGGGGTTTCACTGTGTTAGCCAGGATGACCTTTAATTCTTTAAAAACTTATTTTTTTGGCCGGGCATGGTGGCTCACTCCTGTAATCCCAGCATTTTAGGAGGCCAAGGCAGGTAGGACACCTGAGGTCAGGAGTTTGAGACCAGCCTGGCCAACATGGTGAAACCCCGTCTCTACTAAAAATACAAAAATTAGCCAGGCGTGGTGGTGGGCGCCTGTAATCCAAATACTCAGGAGGCTGAGGAAGGAGAATTGCTTGAACCCAGAAAGGCGGAGGTTGCGGTGAGCTGAGATCGCGCCACTGTACTCCAGCCTGGGTGACAGAGTGAGACTCTGTCTCAAAAAAAACAAAAATAAAAACAAAAACTTTTTTTTTTCTTTAGTCAACAGTACCTATGGTCTAACACCATGAAGGACTCCAGTGGCAGGGAGTGATTCCAGCTGCAGAGACCACATAGCTAACTCAGGCTGTAAGAGTCAGTATCCTCAAATGAGGCGGCACTCAACAGAGAATTGTTTAGTTCTTTTGAATGAATATATTTAGGATTAATTCCCTTCCAGTAAAAAATTGGTTTCGAATCATTAAGCTTAGTATATTTTGTTAACCTGCAGCAGAATATATACTAGGATTAGAAAAATTTGTTAAGCAGATGGCTTAATTTTCGGGTTCTTATCCACACCTTCCTGCTTTTTTCTTCTCCTTTCAGGACTAATTTTTCTTCTCTTGTGGTCTCAAATCCTGTCTCACCAGAGACAAGAGTTCTTGCAGAAATTCACCTTGACTAAGGAGCTAGATACTCAATTTATTTGCTGGTCCTTGGAACATTTGCATTTTAAAGACAGGGTGGTAACGGTGATCAAATGTATGTGCTTTCTCCCGGACACAAATAAATATCCCAGTTCATCGGTGGCTGATCATTCCTGCTAGTCCCTAATGTGTTTTCCCCCTTTATTCCTTTAATTTCAAGATAATAATAATAATAAGAAAAATTATTTTTCCTTCTTCATTTTCTTCTATTAGTTGGCCTGCCTAAACATTTCTCATTAGTTTTCATATCAATTTATCATACCACATACCCATTCTAACTTGATTTTGACCTTACCTTGTGCTTGGATTTTTGGTGAACCCAGTATTCACAAAAACTGGGCAGAGACATGAGGTTTTGATACCAGTTTTTCCCAAGGCCTGAAGTTCTGATGTCAGACCTCTGTGAAAGCCAACAGCGGCAAATTTGCTGGAACTGTAAGAGAATTATTAAGCATTGTTAGCTAAGGGAGAGTGAAACCAATCCTCAGCTTTCTGTGAGAAGGCGGTATCATTTGGCTTAAGAACAAGTGGAAGCCAAAAATCAGCCACTTGTGATTTTTCTGAGAGTATAAATGGCAATTCATTTTCATTTTCTTACATGATTAAGCAGAATTGTGAACGTATCTCATTTCTTAAACAACAATGATAACAAAAGAACAAAAATAACTCTATTGATTGGCTTAATGTTCAGTTTTCCATCCTACATGTAAGGTTTTTCCATTGAATCTTCAAACTGTTTTCTAATCAGTTTTTATTGCTGCTTTTATTTTGAAAAATATGAATCAGGAAAAATACATTTAGAAATTCTACAAAACTGGTATCTGTGTTGACAGACTTCTGTAGGACTCTGCTCATTTCTCCTCTCTCTCTCAATAACTGAGTTATTCTCTTGACAATGGTTGATAGTTTTTCTCTTGACAATGGTTGCCACTTTGGCCTCTTAATTTTATTATGAGGATCTGGAGAAGAGTTTACAGGAAAGGATATTTGGCAAATACAGCAGTACATCCTTAACGCCTCTCACCTCCTTCCCTTTATGTCTTTGGTGGTGCATGGAGTGTGGTATCTGCAACTTTTAGTCAGGTAGAGTCGTTTTCTCTCTCTCTCTCTCTCTCACACACACACACACACACACACACACACTTTCATGGCACAAGCACACTGTAAAATGTTTTGATCCAGGGACCACTCTGATTGTCTTATCTTGGGCACCAAGGCCATGACATAGACATGTGTTCATTTTAGCTTCTGTAGGTTTTGCTTCTCAGTCTGTGGGGTTTCTGTTTCTTATTCCAGGAAACAATGGAAACATGCTTGGCATTACTGTTTTCTCTCATTGTTCTACAGAGGAGTTTGCAGAAATCTAAAAATATCTTAAATATAATTACAACCTGGTTTCATTGTTTTAGAAAAAGTCATTTAAAAAATCATTCTAAACTACTATAAATTTAAATTCTGTAAATCCAAATCACTCTGCTCTCAGCATTGTAATCTTGAGGCAGGAGAACAGGGTCTGGAGGCAGGGAACATAAGGCCGATTCATGCTGACTTCCTAGAACTAAATCAAATGGAAACACTCCAGCTATGACAGGAAATATCCTCTCCATTTACATATGGTGTACACTGAGTAAACGACTCTGTAACTTTAATTCATCCTCTTCATTTACATAGGGCGTACACCAAGTAACCAGTGGAAACCTCTAGGGGGTATTTAAACCCCAGAAAATTCTGTAATTGGCTCTTGAGCCCCTGTGCTTGGGCCCACTCCCACCCTGTAAAGCGTACTTTCATTTTCAATAAATCTCTGCTTTTGTTGCTTCATTCTTTCCTGGCTTTGTTGGTGAGTTTTGTCCAATTCTTTGTTCAAGATGCCAAGAACCAGGACTCTCCAGTGGTAACAATTTGAAGTGTAATGCTCCCTTCAAAGTATAAAAATATATAACATGGCTGGCATGTGATACTTACCAATATGGGATGAGGTAAGGAATCCCTTCGTGGCCGCACACTGAAGCCACTGTGACGATGTGGCCATGATTTCTCTCCATCATCGATGGAAGAAGTGCTTTTGTGATCTTAAGGATCATTGCAGAAAGAAGAAAGACAATGACATAGACGTTAGGTTTCCAAATCAGGTAGTTTTATTTTTGTTAAGACAGAAAGGCATTTGAGAGAACTTATACAATGAAATAAAATACTTCCAAGCATTCCATGATTAATTCTTTACAAATGATAGAAATAAAGATACAAATTTATTGGTATGGTAAGCCCCATGCCAACACTAATCTCAGTACTCCCCCTCCTTCCCTTCAGAAGGAATCAAATAGATCCTTTTTTGGATATGTCATCTAAACAATATTAAGGGAAAAATTCAGAGTTTTCAGAACTAAAATTATTCCTTATGATAATTTGGTGTCATATAATTTTTTGGTTTGGGGCTTTATCATTCTAATTAAAAGAGTGAAATCTTGTGTAACTGTATTAAGACAGTTGAGTAGTGTAAGCTGAGAGTTCTACACCACACTAATGAATCATGATTGAATTCACTATCTCCCTATTTGTAATATTGTATATTATATGTTGATGTTACAGAAAACAAGTCTTTCTTTTTTTCCAAAAACCTCTTTTGTGAGAAACATCAATAAAATTTTATAAGAATTTAATAAATCCTATGCAAATTCATAGAACTAGAACTCCCAACCCAAGCTACCTCCAAATTCCCAACCCATAGAAACTGTGAGAGGATAGTGAACATACATTGTTGCTTTAAACCACTAAGTTTTGTATAATTTGTTATGCAGCTATAGGTAGCTAATGTATGAGGTCTCCGTGTAGTTTGGTGGGCATGGGAGCCAATTCACATATGTGAAGAGCTGGTAAAGGTAAGGGGGACACATCTCTTTTTTTTCTTCTTTCTTCTAGAATCCAGATCTGCCCTAGATTCTACACTAATATTGAGGCACTGGAAGATTAATCATAAAAATTTCTATACAAAGGCAGTTGAAGTTGATATTTCCATCTCCCACAAAACTAACCAATTATATGAGGTCTGTATAGCTGCATTTCTCAGTTCCAGCACCCCATGGATCTAGAACACTTGCCTCAGAGTCTCGTCCAAAAGTGTCCTCGATCCTATATACATCCAAGTAATTACTTCTGATGTCCTTTCCATTCTAAAATTCCACAAAATGAGGACACATTACAAAATCATGGTGTGGAGGGAAAAAAATGAAGTCACAAGTGACAGCATTGAAAAGATGTACACTGACAACCCTTAACAAACCTCCACAAACATTTGTTGAGCTCCTGGTACATGCCAAGCTTTGTGTCAGATACTGGTGGACAAGACAGACCAAGTAGCTTACATTCTGGTGTGTTGTGTCCACTTGAATTCTGTGTCCTTGTGTCAGAGACTCTGTGGCTCTTCTACTCAAACAAATTTAATGATTCTTGATTAAGGCAAAGATCTGGCCAGTTTCCTGTCCAGAAGTATGTGAACTCCGTTATAAGTTTCATGTATCTTAAGAGAAGGTGCACAAATCAGAAATGTTTCTGACTCACACTCACCCAAAAATGTCCTAGGATGTTGACCTCAAATGTCTTGGTAATCTCTTCATCCTTGGTGCTGAGAAGATCGGCTGGATATACTGTCCCAGCATTATTCACCACGATTGTTACATCACCCACTTCTTTCTTCACCTTTTGAAATTGAAAGAACACTTTCACTGGGTGTATTATTCAAACTCAAAGTTTTGGGACCAATATAATCCAAAGATGAGAGTCTTTCTTCTATTGTATGAGGTCTCTCAGAGTTCAGGCAAGACAGACTGTTGAGCTCAAATCGTGGAGGCCAAGGGAACACTGTCATAAAGGTGGGATAAACTGTTCTTTTAACATCTAAATTTCAGTACCCAGCACATCATGTTTTGCAAGTTTATCAGTAAAGTGAAATTAACATTTATGTTGATAAATTCCTATATAAATTCTGACCAAATATTTTTAAAGTGTTCATTTTTTAAAAATGTGTTTTTCTTTAAACTTTTTTTTTTTTTTTTTTTTTTTTTTTTAGAGATAGGGTCTCACTATGTTGCCTGGGCTGGTCTTGAACTCTTGGTCTCATGTGATCCTTCCACCTTGGCCTCACAAAGTGCTGGGATTACATGTGTGAACCACCGCACCTGGTCTAAAGTGCTGGTTGAGAAATCCTGGTTTCATAACCTAATAACTACATGACCTGGGTCTGGCTTAACCTCTCTGAGTCATAATTTGCTTATCTGTAAAATGAAGTTTACAGAGTTATTGTAGGGATTGAATTAAAAAATGTAAAGTTTGTTAGAGTGCTTAGTTCATTGTGATTATTTGGTATTTACTCTTTTAAAATAATTGTGATAATAATTATTAATATTACATTTTCTACAGAAGACTACATTAACACCAAAATAAAATCTCACAAGGGAAATAATTAAAGAGAAGCTGGAATTACTGCAAAGTTAATAGGACTAAAACAAAACTAGGAAGTGATCCATATTCCCTGATGATAAATCTTTTGTCAGTCACTCTGTGCCACTGCTCACACTTCTGATCAGAATGAAATTGATTAATAATATGAACAATAATAATGGGCAGAGCTGAGTGGATTACATACAAGAAAAAAAGTATATATCCTTCCTTGGTGACATAACTACTTCAGTTAGCAGCTAAAATCCAATTTAAATCAGGCAGTCATAAAGACCTTTCTCATTTTCCACGTCAGCGTCCTAGGAAACAAAATAATCTGAAGAAATTTGTGAACCTGCAGTCTCACCTGATTTAGAGAGCGATAGATCTCTTCTCTGTTGCTGCAGTCTACCACATACGCATGCGCAGTGACGCCTAGTTTTCGGCACTCAGCTGCAGTTTCCTCCACACCGCGCTGTAATTAGGAAGAAACAAATTCCGAAAAAAGTGGAGGAGAAGACATTGGAGAAGAAAAATTTTTAGACAATTAACATTCGGCTAGGCGCGGTGGCTCACGCCTGTAATCCCAGCACTTTGGTTGGCCGAGGAGGGCGGATCACGAGGTCAGGAGTTCAAGACCAGCCTGGCCAACATGGTGAAACCCCGTCTCTACTAAAAATACAAAAATTAGCCAGGCCTGATGGTGTGGGCCTGTAATCCCAGCTACTTGGGAGGCTGAGGCAGGATAATTGCTTGAACCTGGGAGGAGGAAGTTGCAGTGAGTGGAGATAGTGCCACTGGACTCCAGCCTGGGCAACAGAGTGAGACTCTGTCTCAAAAAAAAAAAAAAAAAAAATTAACATTCATGTCCAAAATGAACAATTAACATTCATTTTGGACATGAAGATTAGTTAACCTTTTAAAAATTGGCCTCCTGGGTCAGGTGTGGTGGCTCACGCCTGTAATCCCAGCACTTTAGGAGGCCGAGGAGGGTGGATCACTTGAGGTCAGGAGTTTGAGACCAGTCTGGCCAAAATGGTGAAACCCCATCTCTACTAAAAATACAAAAAATTAGCTGGGCGTGGTGGTGGGAGCCTGTAATCCCAGCTACTCGGGAAGTTTAGACAGGAGAATCACTTGAACCCGGGAGGCGGAGGTTGCAGTGAGCTGAAATCATTCCATTGCACTCCAACCTGGGTGACAGAGTGGGACTTCGTCTCAAAATAAAATAAAAATTGGCCTCCTTATTTGTTAGAAAATTTCTTGAGAGTGATTGCCTAGTTGCAATGAGATTACCCCTGGCTTTTCTGCCAGGGAATGCTCATATTAAAACCAAAACAAACAAAACAAAACAAAATCCCTTCATGCTTTTTTCAGCTTTTCCTCTTGGTTGGAGGCTGTACAGTAGGCAGTTTCTCTAAAGCAGGCTACTTTCAAACCTTGAAGAACATTCTTGAAAAACATTGCTCTTCGTGGTGTCATGGAAGATGAATATGGAGAAGAAAGAAAAACTCAACCATTAATTTATCATACATTTGTTGAGCACCAACTATGTAATAGGCAGTAAAGTG
This sequence comes from Homo sapiens, assembly GCF_000001405.40. Taxonomy (NCBI): domain Eukaryota; kingdom Metazoa; phylum Chordata; class Mammalia; order Primates; family Hominidae; genus Homo; species Homo sapiens. Next base: position 87,319,533 of record NC_000004.12, read on the forward strand.
CTAAGTAGTAATTCTAAACTAGTGGTAATGGTAAACTGTATGCCTCTGCCCATCATATTTTTCTTGATGATTCTGACTCATCCTCCTAGGAGGGAAGGGAAAGAAGTCTCCTTAAAGAAGAAGGACTTTCATAGGGAGACCATGCTGCTACTCTAGGAGATATAACATTACATTCTTCAGGTGTTTGGGAGTGAGATGGGCAAGGCCACTGGATGGATTTCTCATTTATGTACCAAACTTGCCCATAACCATAGGACATGGAGACAGAGCAATTTACTTTCAGCCTAAATTCAAAGACCTCTTTCCTAAGATAAAATTGCTCTAATGTTTCTTGACTCACATTCTGGAAAATTATAATTCTTTTCAAGTTTTCACCTCAGGTGACTTTTATAGAAAATATTATAAGGTTTTAAAAATTATACTTTTCCGTCTCACAATCTGTAAACTCTTCTCTGTGACAAAGAGGCAAGGATACCTGAAAAGCCCTATTCTTCGTGTATTGAGATGACAGTGGTGTTGCTGCTATTTAGGGCAAACCTTGAATGAGTGGTCTCTGGGTCCTTTGTATTTCGCTACTGTAGGCTAAACCCTGGAGCAGCAGCCTGAACTCCCCAAACATGGATGTTAGGACCCAGTCTCAAAGTCAGTATCCCCTCAAATAGCCTTTTGTGGGATTGCAGAAGAGTAAAAAAAGAATAGGAGAGTCTTTCACTGATTTAGTTGGTAGCTTGCTCACTGCCAGATTGCACAAACCACACCATACTCTCTCATTTGTTTCTAGGTCAGTAGAGAGCATAAGTTACCAGAGCATTCATCAGATGTTTTGATTGAAGAATTAATTATTCTTCAGTTTTTTTTTTTTTTTTTTTTTTGAGACGGAGTCTCGCTCTGTCGCCCAGGCTGGAGTGCAGTGGCGTCATCTCGGCTCACTGCAAGCTCCGCCTCCCGGGTTCACACCATTCTCCTGCCTCAGCCTCCCGAGTAGCTGGGACTACAGGCGCCCGCCACTACGCCTGGCTAATTTTTTTGTATTTTTAGTAGAGACGGGGTTTCACTGTGTTATCCAGGATGGTCTCGATCTCCTGACCTCGTGATCCGCCCGTCTCGGCCTCCCAAAGTGCTGGGATTACAGGCGTGAGCCACCGCGTCCGGCCTATTCTTCTGTTTTATAACTGAGCTAGACAATTGCAAAATGTGATGCCTTGTCTTTTTGTTAGCAAAACACTTGCTTTAGCTTAAACTCCAATGTGTTTTTTGAACCGTATTCCCAACGCAACAGTTTAGATTGCATAAGAGCCAAACTGCTACTGTGTCTCTCATCTCACAGGGCAAAAGGAGCCAGTTATGATGAAAACTCAGCCAGCATCTTCCTCGCCTAAAGGAGATCTGAGTTACATTACAGCCTTAGAGTGAATCATTCAGTAGCTTAAATGTTTAACCATGAAATTTAATGATTCAAAGAGAATTTTTGAGGTTGGGTTACCTATTTTTCTTAAGTCTTTTTTTATTTTTTTTGAGACAGAGCCTGGCTCTATTGCCCAGCTTGGAGTGCAATGATGCCATCATAGCTCATTGCAGCCTTGGCTTCCTGAACTGAAACGATCCTCCCACCTCAGCCTCCCGAGTAGCTGGGACTACGGGTGTGCACCCCCGCACCCAGCTAATTTTTGTATTTTTTGTAGAGTTGGGGGTTTTGCTGTGCTGCCCAGGCTGGTCTTGAACTCCTGGGCTCCAGCAATCTGCCCACCTCCGTCTCCCAAAGTGCTGGGATTACAGGTGTGAGCCACTGCACCCGCCCTTAAGTCATTTTTAATACGACTTCCTTCTAATTTACTTTTCTCTTGTCTCTGGAAATTTTAAAATTTAAAAAAAACTTAATAAATATAGCCCTTTCCCCAAAAATACACATCTGGAAAGAGATTTGAAGGTTAGATTTCATCAAGCCCTTTTCATAGATTTATACTTATTTATATTTTTGGACAAATGCCTGAGAACAGCAGGCAACAATTTTCTCTATTTGTAAATTCTTGCTATCTTCCAGAAAGTTCATTCGAATTTCTTCAAAGACCAAAAAGATGGCAAATCATTTTTATATACATCAACTCCTCTATTATATAAATGCTCATATCTGTTAAATAAAAATGTAGTAGCTTTTTTGTATAGTATTCTTCACTATTCAGAAAAAAAACAGAAAAGAATTAGTTCTCTAAGTGTAAGAGACATTTTAGGTTTCAACTAAACATGACAGCAAAGAACATGAGAAAGTAATAATATAATGGTAATTAAAACCACTGTAATTTGCAGAAAATGTGATTCTCAAGGAGTACTTCACAATTTTTCCAATCCTAAAATCCTGTAAACACTTCTCTGCATATATTTTCATGGCCTTACCAGAATTTACAAGTTTAGAGAAAATGATACAAGATTTCAGTTCCTTCAGTTTTATTTGGGGTTGTTAATGTAGTGTTTACAAGTAAGAACACAGGAAAAATACTAATGTCCAAGGAAAAGCCTGACTCACTGCGCACATATTTTATTTAACACAGTTATTGTTTATCATGTGCCACGTATCGTTTATCATATGCTAAGTGCTGAAAATATTACTTATTTAATCCTTTTGACTACGGACTGGCAAACATTTTCTGTAAAGGGTCAGACAGTAAATATTTTAGAACTGTGTTGCTTGTGCATGAGGGGAGGCACTAAAGGTTTCTGTTGCAAGTTCTTCGTTTGACTTTTGTTTGTAGCTGTAATTTTCAGATCCCGTTCTTGCCCATCCCCTAAGTTATTATCCCCACTTCAGAGCCAAGAAAACAGGCTGAGAGATAATATGTGACTTGCCTCATTTAGCAGCTTGGAAGGAGACTGGCTCCTGAGTCTTTCTATCAACCTGCACACCATGTCATAAAAATCGCTGCTTAGTTCTTAATTACATTCCCTTCATCTAACTAACCTGACACATATACAGACTAAGGGACCAGGGAATTTATCAAACTTTGAAAAACAAAAATACAAAGATAAGTAGATGGTAAGTCAAATAATTCTTAAAATACATATCTTACTCTGTGACTTTAAAAAGTTGGAAGATGTATACATTACCTTATTAATATCCCACAGAACCAATATGCTCTGTCGTTTTGCAAATTCATAAGTAGTCTGCCTGCCTATTCCATGCCCAGCTCCAGTAATGAGAACAATCTCCCCAGCCACAGATTTTCTCCTCTGAGGAATGAAAAACTTCACCAACGACTCCAAGTAGGAGTAGATGATGGTGATCAGAAGCAGAAGGATTTCTAGGATGATGTTCATGGCTTTGCTCTGTCCTCTTCCTTCTGGTTCAGTCCTTGTGTAGTCCTAGGGAGGAGGTACTGTCTACACAGAGCTCTAGGGAAGGGGTGTGCCCAGTTGTTAATGGGACTACCAGATGGAAGCCAGCTTTGGAAGCAGGCCTTGTTCACGTGTTCTAATGGGTTTGAAACACCTCAAATATGAAGTGATGCCAAGTGATGCCAAGAGCACAAGAGAGTGTGCTCTCTGGACTTGTTTATCTGAAAAGCAGTTATGTACTATATTTCACCTTGAAGTTTCACCTCTAGAAACAATTCTAGGGGCCAGGTGCAGTGGCTCACATCTGTAATCCCAGCACTTTGGGAGGCTGAGGCAGAGGATTGCTTGAGCCCAGGAGTTCGAGACCAGTCTGGGCAACATAGTAAGACCCTGTCTCAAAAAAAAAAAAAAAAACTATAGAAAAAAATTAGCTGGATATGGTGGCATGTGTCTGTAGTCCCAGCTACCCAGGAGGCTGAGGCAGGAGGATTGCTTCAGTCCATGAGTTCGTGGTGCAGTGAGCTGTGATTGTGCCACTGCGCTCCAGCCTAAGCAACAGAACAAGGCCTGGTCTAAAAAAAAAAGAAAAAGAATTCTGGAGATACTGCATCAGCTAATGATCTGTTGGTATCTTTCTGGAAATTGTTACCTTTTTTCAATATGAAAAAGGAGAATGTAGAGATAAGCTTAAAGAAACTTAGATAAAGTCTGAATGAACCCAGCTTAGCTATTTGATTCATTTATTCACAAAAGCTCAGCATCAATATTTCAACTGGCTAATTATTTTACACATGATGACCATTTCCCTGAAAATCTCTTGAGTTTGGGGGAGATTTTAGGATACAGAACCATCAGTTCCCTTTGTGATAATACTGGAAAGAGCATTAGACCAGGAGTCGGGAATCTCAACTTTAAAGTGGGGTGGCTTCTGTCTTTGTCTGCTGCTGTAACAAATTACCATTGACCAGGTGGTTTATAAATTCCAGAAACTTATTTCTCACAAGAAGTCCAAGATCAAGGCGCTGGCATATTCTTTGTCTGGTAAGAGCTGGCTTCCTGGTTGATAGATGGCTGTCATTTCACTGTCACCTCAAGTGGCAGAAGGAGGAAGGAAACCCTCCGTGTTCTCTTGTATAAGGGCAATTATTCCCATGGCAGAGCTCTCATGACCTAATCACCTCCCAAAGGTCTCACTTCCTAAAACCATCACACTGGGAGATAGGATTTCATAATATGAATTTTGAAGGAACACATGCAGCCTATAGCAACTTCCAATAGCCAAGAAGTGGGAACAACCCCAGTGTTCATCAACAGATAAACAAAATATGATATATACATGCAATGGAATATTACTCAGCCTTAGAAAGGAAGGAAATTCTGACACATACTACTAGATAGATGAACCTTAATGACATTATGCTAAGTGAAATAAGCCAGATGCAAAAGTATAAATATTGTATGACTCCATTTATATGAGGTACCTAGAGTAGTCAAATACACAGAGAGAGACAGAAAGCAGTAAGGTGGTTACTAGGGGATGAGGAGAAAAGGAATGGGGAATTATTGTTTAATGAGTATGGAGTTTCAGTTAGGATGATGAAAGCTCCGCAGGTGAATGGTGGTGATGGTTATACAACAATGTGAATGTGCTTAATGCTACTGATCTGTACATTACAAAATAGTTAAAATGGTAAATTGTATGTTACGTGTGTGTGATTTCTAGCAATCCTATTTATTTTCTCTATGCTACAGTTTCCTTAACTAGAAAATAGATATTTTTTAAAAAAGCACACATTACCCAACATAGACCTTCAGAGCACATAACAACCTCAACCTTCCCTCATATGCCAACACACAAAGTGGCTATAAGGATCAAATAAGAGAATATGTTTATGAAATAGTTTTGCAAGTAGTGAATGGTTATATAAATCAAATACTAATTATAGTAAGAATGCGAATGTGTTAATCACTATATATCATGGACTGATTTAAGGGCTTTACATATCAACTTGTTTAATCTTCACAACATACATTTGAAGTAGGTGCTATTAAAATCTGCATTGTACAGATGTGGAAACTGATGTATAGGCAAGTTAGGTAACTTATTTGTAAGCATAAAGTAACAGCTGGCAAGAGGTGGAGTGAGGATTGAAACCCAGGAAGCCTGATGCTGTAGCCTCAACTTTTAACTTAGATCAGTGGTTCTCAACTAGGATTACTTTTGTTCCACAGGGTACATTTTGGCATGTCTGGAGACATTCTTTGTTGCCACAATTTAGGCATGCCACTGTCATCTATCTAATAGGTAGAGGCCAGGGAAGCTGCTGAACACTTTACAATTCATAGGAAAGCCTTGTGCATTGAAACCAAGAATTATTTAGCCCAAACGTGAGTACCCTCAACTAAGGTTGAGACCTGGCCTATACTTATATTATATTGGAGACAGTGTAATTGGTTCTTTCAGTTTGAACCTTGGATAAATTTATGGCAAAAAAATAGTACTTGGTTATATCTTTCTGCATGCAGGTTTGCTGTGACATGTATATGGAGCTGTTAAATATTGACATAGGTGCTTTAGATCAGACCTCATGCTGGGCTGCAGTGCAGGAATCTGTTTTCAGATTGAATGTCTATATTTGAATATCCAGCTTGCTCAGAGGGGGCCAGACCAATGCTATCTAAATCAATACAGTACTGATGCAGTTTTGAAAGGCAGTTTTAAAATTTACAGTGGAATCTAGATTATTTTACCCACTGGATATTTGTATTATGCAAGAATTAAGAATCTTTGAGACAGTGAACAACACTTCTTAACATTGTTCTCAAATAGTTTGGTTGCTGAGAAATTTTATTTCATATGAGACAACCTAGTGAGCTCTCTCTCTTTTTTTTTCTTTTTGCTTGTTTTCTATGGGACGGAATGTTCATGTTCCTCAATTACAGGGTTCATATTTGCCCCAACAATGCTAGAAACATACACTTTGTCCCTTGATTTTGTTGTTGTTGTTGTTGTTGTTTTGTTTTGTTTGTTTTTGAGACGGAGTCTCGCTCTATCGCCCAGGCTGGAGTGCAGTGGTACAATCTCAGCTCGCTGCAACCTCCGCCTCCCAGGTTCAAGTGATTCTTGTGCCTCAGCCTCCTGAGTAGCTGGGATTACAGGCACCCGCCGCCACGCCTGGCTAATTTTTGTATTTTTAATAGAGATGGGGTTTCACCATGTTGGCCAGGCTGGTCTCGAACTCCTGACCTCAAGTGATTCACCCATCTCGGCCTCCCAAAATGGTGGGATTACAGGCGTGAGCCACTGCACCTGGCCCCCCTTGATTTTTTTCCTTAAGTTTTAGAGACTTTTTGTTTGTATGTCTTTATGACATCACTGGCTTCATTTCAACAAATTTTCATAACAAGTAAAAATGTTTAATTTGCTTTGATCACATTTTAGGTCAGTTTCCTACTGATATGAATGAAGGTACCTTAAATTTATCATTAATTTGTCTTTCACTCACATTTTAGGATGAGATGCTTTCAGTAAAATTTTCTCAACTTAGCTAAAATCATCCATAGCATTTAGAATCTTATTAAAATAAGACATTTTCTAAATTTTGGTCTGCTTTTTTTTTCCTTTCATTAATGTCCCTTTTGAGAGCCATCTGCCTACCGGTTTTAGAAATGTAATTATCTTTATTCAGTAAGAATAATTATCTTTGTACAAAGGGTCAACACTAAGCCATCATTTCTCTGAAGATCATAAAATGAGGACGTTATGGAAATTATGCCCATTAATCTACTGTTTGTTTAGGCTAACTGTAGTAATCTGACACGTAGAGGTTTGGGAATATAATCTCTTCAAATACATACTCTTTTCTTTTCCTTCCTGGTGGGGTTCATTAGTTCATTGCCAAGGGTTCTATTCATGTATACTGGCAAACTGATAACACAGTATTAGGTATTCTTAAAAGACATATAAACCTCTCCTTGAGGTTCCAAAACCCCTATCCAAATACACAAACCCCAAACTCATATTTCATGCAGAGCCTTGGCATGTTTTGGATTACAAAACCTTTTGCTTCATCACTCCATACCAATCCTCCTTGTAGTACCAAAGAGAGCATCCCGATCTCTATAGTCTGGTTCTCAATCTTTCTTTTATTTTCTCCTAATTCTTCTTCCTCTGTTTATTCCAAACTCTTCCTGCCTAAAAGTTGTCTCTTTTGCTTTCAAATATTTTCAGATCTCTCCCATTATAAAAATATTCAACAAAATCATCCTGTCTTCCATATTTTACTGTCAAATTAGTCTACAGTGATTACCTCTGTTTTCTGGCTTCCCCTTTCCTTAAGAAAACAGAAATCTCTTGTCCTTTTACCTCTTTTACTCTCTACCTGGTGCAAAGTGCTATGACAGCTGCATATAAGGAGCAACAGGAGTTCACAGGAAGGGCAAATTACCCAGCCCTGAGAATGGAAGTGGGAGTTGAGCTATAAATGGGGCCCTGAGGATGACAGGAGTAAGCCAGTGATGAAGGAGATAAGAGTGTTCCATATACAGAAAACCAGGTATGCCAACACTAGGAGGTGAGGAATCATGGTGAGGTCAAGGAATAAGAAGTTCTGGCTGGGCACGGTGGCTCAGGCCTGTAATCCTAGCACTTTGGGAGCCTGAGGCAGGTGGATCACTTGAGGCCAGGAGTTCGAGACCAGCCTGGGCAACGCGGTGGAACCCCCGTCTCTACTAAAATACAAAAATTAGCCAGGCCTGGTGGTATGTGCCTGTAGTCCCAGCTACTCAGGAGGCCGAAGCACAAGAATCACTTGAATCTGGGAGTCGGAGGTTGCAGTGAGCTGAGACTGTGTCACTGCACTCCAGCCTGACAGAGTGAGACCCTGTCTCAAAAAAACAAAAACAAAAAACAACAAAAATAAAAAAGAAGTTCTGTCTTGGAAGCAGGGTGTGGGGTAGAGAGAAGTTAGATAACTTAGCAGAGGCTCAATCACTCAGAGCATAGGATCAGTAAGGGCTAGTGAAAGGTGTTGAACAGGGAACCCATACCATCAGATGCACACCCCAGAAATGCTGCAGTTTGGAGAATGCATTGAAGGGAGGACAAGAATAGATGGAGGGAGACCAGTTAGGAAGCTTTTCATTAATCTAGACCAGGCTGGGCACAGTGGCTCACGCCTGTAATCTCAGCAATTTGAAAGGCCAAGGTGGGTGGATCTCTTGAGCTCAGGAGCTCGAGACCAGCCTGGGAAACACAGGGAGACCCCCATCTTTACAAAAAATACAAAAAGTGGTTGGGCATGGTGGCATGTGCCTATAGTCCCAGCTACTTAGGAGGCTGAGGTGGGAGGATAGCTTGAGCCTAGAAAGTGGAGGTGGCAGTCAGCTGAGATTGCGCCACTGCACTCTAGGCCTGGGCCCAGGAGTGAGACCCTGTCTCAAAATCATCATCATCATCCTGTAGCCCAGAAGTCACAGTGCCCTGAATGAGGGTGGTGGCAAATGAGACATTAAGGAAACAGAATAATACGATATATAGGCCTTTATTTATTAAATATATAGAAAACACTTGGTTTGTTTCAGAGACTATTCCAGGTATTGGGGTAATACCAGTGAACAAAATAGATGAAAGCAAATCTGTTCCCTTGGGAAACTAACACTCTAGGGGCAATGTAGACAATAAAGAAGATAAATAAACAAAATGTATAGAATGCTCTACAGTGATAAATGCCAAGGAAAAAAATAGAGAATAGAGGGAGAAATGGAATCTTGTAGGGTATGGCTGTGTGGGGTAGGGTTGCAGTTTTACGTATAGAGTAAGAAGACCTCAAAAGAAAGACCTAAGCAAACAGACTTAAAAGAAAGAAGGGCACTTTGGGAGGCCGAGGCGGGCGGATCACGAGGTCAGGTGATCGAGACCATCCCGGCTAAAACGGTGAAACCCCGTCTCTACTAAAAATACAAAAAATTACCCGGGCGTAGTGGCGGGCGCCTGTAGTCCCAGCTACTTGGGAGGCTGAGGCAGGAGAATGGCGTGAACCCGGGAGGCGGAGCTTGCAGTGAGCCGAGATCGCGCCACTGCACTCCAGCCTGGGCGACAGAGCGAGATTCCGTCTCAAAAAAAAAAAAAAAAAAAAAAAAAAAAAAGAAAGAAGGGGCTAGCTATGTAGATATCTGGAGGAAGAGCATCTGGAGAGAGTGAACAGTAATATACTAAGGCCTTGAAGTAGAAACATGCCTGGTGGGTTGAGGGAGCATCAAGGGGACCTATGTAGCTGGAGAGAATTGAATGAGGGTGAGGATAGTGCGACAGTTAGTTTCATGGGTCAACATGACTAGGCTATAGTCCCCAGTTATCCAATCAAACACTAATCTAGGTGTTGTTGTGAAGGTATTGTACATGCGGTTAACATCTATATTCAGTAGTATTTAAGTAAAGGAAATTATTCTTTATAATGTGGATGGGCCTTAACCAATTAGTTGGAAGGTTGTGAAAGCAAAACTGAGGTTTCCCTGAGTCAAAAGAGGTTCTGCTTCAACATTGCACCATCAGTTCCCACCTAAGAGTTTACAGCTTTCTAGGCTACCCTACAGATCTCAGACCTGCTAGCCTCCCACAATCACTTAAGCCAATTCCTCAATTTCTTGAAATACATCTCTCTCTCTCCGTGTATGTGTGTGTGTGCTGTGTGTATATATAAATGTACGCATACACAATCTCCTACTGTTTCTCTGGAGAACCCTGATTTATACAGGTAGTAAGGTAGTGGGGTAATTGTAGGGACAAAAGGCTGGATTACATATCGCCTTGTAAAGTCATGGTAAGTACTTTAGCTTTAAGTTTTAGATGAGAAATTAATGGAGGATTTTGAGCCTGAAGCATGACACAATCTCAGATATCTTTTTTTAACTTTTATTTTTAGGTTCAGGAGTACATGTGCAGGTTTGTTATACAGGTAAATTGCATGTCTTGGGGGTTTGGTACACAGATTATTTTGCCACCCAGGTAATAAGCATAATACCCAATAGGTAGTTTTTCGATCCTCACCCTCCTACCACCCTCCACCCTCAAGTAGGCCCCTGTGTCTGTTTTTCCCTTCTTTATGTCTATACGTACTTGATGTTTAGCTCCTACATATAAGTGAGAACATGTGGTATTTGGTTTTCTGTTCCTGTGTTAGTTTGCTTAGGCTAATGGCCTCCAGCTCCATCCATGGTTTTGTTTTTTTTTGTTGTTTTGAGATGGAGTCTCCCTCTGTTGCTCAAGCTGTCTAAGTGCAGTGGCTTGATCTTGGATCACTGCACTCCGCCTCCTGGGATCAAGCGATTCTCCTGCCTCAGTTTCTCGAGTAGCTGGGATTACAGGTGCTCGCCACCATGCCTGGATAATTTTTGTACTTTTAGTAGAGATGCGGTTTCACCATGTTGACCAGGCTCGTCTCGAACTCCTGACCTTGTGATTTGCCTGCCTCAGCCTCCCAAAGTGCTGGGATTACAGGTGTGAGCCACCGTGCCTGTCCTCCATATGAATTTTAAAATAGTTTTTTTTTCTAATTTTGTGAAGAATGTCATTGGTAGTTCGATAGGAATAGCATTAAGTCTATAAATTGCTTTGGGCAGTATGGCCATTTTAACAATATTGATTTCCTTCCACTCATGAACATGGAATATTTTTCCGTTTGTTTGTGTCATTTCTGATTTCTTCGAGCAGTGTTTGTAATTATCATTGTAGAGATCTTTCACTTTCCTAGTTAGTTTTATTCTTAGGTATTTTATTCTTTTCACAGCTATTGTGAATGGGATTGCTTCTTGATTTGGCTCTCAGCTTGGATGTTGTTTATGTATATGAATGCTACTGACTTTTGTGCATTGATTTTGTATCCTGAAGCATTGCTAAAGTTGTTTATTAGATTGTATTAGTCCATGTTCATACTGCTATAAAGAACCACCCAAGACTGGGCAATTTATAAAGAAAAAAGGTTTAGTTGACTCAGTTCATCATGGCTGGGGAGGCCTGGGGAAACTTACAATCATGGTAGAAGGCAAAGGGGAAGCAAGGCACCTTCTTCACAAGGCAGCAGGAAGGAGAAGTGCCCAGTGAAGGGGGAAGTACCCCTTATAAAACCATCAGATCTCGTGAGAACTCACTATCATAACAGCATGGGAGAAACTGCCCCCGTTATTCAATTACCTCCACCTGGTCTCTCCCTTGACACGTGGGGATTACAATTCAACATGAGATTTGGGTGGGGACGCAAAGCCTAACCATATCACAGATCAAGGAGCTTTTGGGCAGAGATTATGGGATTTTCCTAGATATAGAATTGTATCTCACCTACAAACAGGCAGAGTTTGACTTCCTTTTTTCCTATATGGATGCCTTTTATTTCTTTCTCTTGCCTGGTTGCTCTGGCTAGGATTTCCAGTACTGTGTTGAATAGTTGTGAGAGAGGGCATCCTTGTTTTGTGCCAGTTTTCAAGGGGAATGCTTCCAGCTTTTGCCCATTCAGTATTACATTGGCTGTGGGTTTTTCATAGATGGCTCTATTATTTTGAAGTATGTTCCTTCGACGCCTAGTGTGTTGAGAGTTTTTAACCTGAAGAGATGTTGAATTTTATTGAAAGCCTTTTCTGCATTTATTGAGATGATCATGTGGTTTTTGTTTTTAGTTCTGTTTCTGTGATGAATCATATTTATTGATTTGCGTATGTTGAACCAACCTTATATCCCAGGTATAAAGCCTACTTGACTGTGGTGGATTAGGTTTTTGATGTGCTACTGAGTTCAGTTTGCTAGTATTTTGTTGAGGATTTTTACATCTATGTTCATTAAGGGCACTGGCCTGAAGTTTTCATTTTTGTGGTGTCTCTGCCAGGTTTTGGTATCAGGGTGATGCTGGCCTCATTGAATGAGTTAGGGAGGAGTCCCCCCTCCTCAATTTTTTTGGAATAGTTTCAGTAGGAATGGTACCAGCTCTTAATATATCTGGCAGAATTTGGCTGTGATTCTGTCTGGTCCTGGGCTTATTCTTGTTGTTAGGCTTTTATTACTGATTCAATTTTGGAACTCCTTATTGGTCTGGTCAGGGATTCAATTTCTTCCTGGTTCAATCTTGGGAGGTTGTATTTCCAGGAATTTATCCATTTCTTCTAGGTTTTACAACTTCTGTACCTAGGAGTATTCATAGTAGTCTCTGAGGGTTTTTTTGTATTTCTGTATAGTTAGTGGTTACCCTTTGTCATCGCTGATTGTGTTTATTTGGATCTTCTCTTTTTTCATTAGTCTAGCTATGTGGTCTATCTATCTCATTTATTCTTTCAAAGAACCAGTTCTTGGATTCGCTGATCTTTTGTATTTTTTTTGCATCTCCATTTCCTTCCTTTCAGCTCTGATTTTGGTTATTTCTTTTATTCTGCTGGCTTTGGGGTTGGTTTGCCCTCATTTCTCTAGTTCCTCTACATGTGATGTTAGGTGGTTAATTTGAGGTCTTTCTAACTTTTTGATTGGGCATTTTGCACCATAAGCTTCCCTCTTGACATTGCTTTAACTGTGTCCCAGAGATTCTGGTATTTTGTATCTCTGTTCTCATTAGTTTCAAAGTATTTCTTGATTTCTGCTTTAATTTGATTGTTTACCAAATAGTCATTCAGGAGCAGTTTGTTCAATTTTCATGTAATGGTATGGTTTTGAACAATTTTCTTAGTATTGATTTCTATACTAATTGTGCTGTGGTTCAAGAATATGCTTGGTATGATTTCGGTTTTTTTTTAATTTGCTGAGGATTGTTTTATGTCCAATTATGTGGTTGATTTTAGAGTATGTGCCATGTGCAAATAAGAATGTATATTCTGTTGTTCGTGGGTGGAGAGTTCTGTAGGTATCTCTTAGGCCCATATGGTCAGTGTTGAGTTCAGGTCCTGAAAAATCTGTTAGTTTTCTGCCTCAATGATGTGTCTAATATTGTCAGTTGGGTGTTGATGTCTCCCACTGTTATTTTGTGGTTACCTAAGTCTTTTCATAGGTCTCCATAAACTTGTTTAATGAATCTGCATGTGCTCCTGTGTTGGGAGCATATTTAGGATAGTTAGGTCTTCTTATTCCCATTACGTAATGCCCTTCTTTGTCTTTTTTGGTCTTTGTTTGTTTAAAGTGTGTCTGAAATTAGAAGAGCAACCCGTGATTTTTGTTTGCTTACCATTTGCTTGGTAGATTTTTCTCCATCCCTTTACTTTGAGCCTATGGGTGTCACTGCATGTGGGAAAGGTCTCTTGAAGACACCGTGTCATTGAGTCTTGCTTCTTTATCCAACTTCCCACTCCAGGCCTTTCAATTAGGGCATTTAGCCCATTTACATTCAAGTTTAATATTGATATGTGTGGATTTGATCCTGTCATTTTGTTGTTAACTGGTTATTTTGCAGACTTGCTTGTGCAGTTGCTTTGTAGTGTCAATGGTCTATGTACCTAAGTGTGATTTTGTAGTGGATGGTAATGATCTATCTTTTCCATATTTAGCACTCCCTTTAGGACCTCTTATAAGGCAGGCCTGGTGGTAATAAATTCCCTTAGCATTTGCTTGTCTGAAAAAGATCTTAATTCTCCTTCACTTATGAAGCTTAGTTTGGCTAGGTATAAAATTATTCGTTGGAATTTCTTTTATTTAAGAATGCTGAATATAGGCCCCCAATATCTTCTGGCTTGTAGGTTTTCTGCTGAAAAGTCCATTGTTAGCCTGATGAGGTTCCCTTTATATGTGACCTGCCCCTTCTCTCTAGCTGCCTGGAAAGTTTTTTCTTTCATTTCAACCTTTGAGAATCGGATGATTATGTGTCTTGGGGATAGTTACTCAGTCAGACAAAAATAAAGAAAAAGATTAGGCTGGGCATGGTGGCTCACACCTGTAATCTCAGCACTTTGGGAGGATGAGGCAAGAGGATCACCTGAACCTAGGAGTTCAATACCAGCCTGGGCCGGGCACAGTGTCTCATGCCTGTAATCCCAGCACTTTGGGAGGTGGAGGCAGGCAGATCACAAGGTCAAGGGATAGGACCATCCTGGCCAACATGGTGAAACCCTGTCTCTACTAAAAATACAAAATTAGCTGGGCGTGGTGGCACACACCTGTAGTCCCAGCTACTCAGGAGGCTGAGGGAGGAGAATCCCTTCAACCTGGGAGGTGGAGGTTGCAGTGAGCTGAGATTGCGCCACTGCACTCCAGCCTGGTGACAGAGTGAGACTCCGTCTCAAAAGATAAATAAATAAAAATAAAAATAAATAAATAAAAGACCAGCCTGGGCAAGATGGTGAGACCTCATCTCAACCATAAAAAAAAAATTAGCCAGGTATGGTGTTGTACACCTGTAGTTCCAGCTATTAATGAATCCCCTGGTTCAGGACCACAGAATATCATACTAGTTGGCAATGAGAAATCATTCCCCATTTACCTGAAGACAACCTAAAGCTCTTTGATTTTAGTATGTCTCTCAGAATTGGCTCTATTGATGACCGAGATGAATCTTCCCACCAAACTGCTGAGAAGTGAAATCAGAGTTAGGATAAACTTCATTCAAATAACATTGACAAGCTTTCAGACTTTGAGACTAATGTTGGAAAGCTTCTTTCTTCTTCTTCTTTTCTTCCTCTTCTTCTTCTTTTCTTCTTCTTCTCCCTCTTCCTCTTCCCTTCTTCTTCTTCCCTCCTCCTCCTCCTCCCCTTCCCCTTCCTCCTCTTCCTCTCCTTCTTCTTATCAAAATTCAAAATCCCCATGATACTATAGTCATTCATCTTTTCTCCAGAGTAAGGGCTATAGACTCCAAGGTTCTTCTGGGTTTCTGCTACTACTGCTGTGTTCACAGCTAGTTCAATGCCTTCTAACAATGCCTTCTGCACAGGACTGCTGAAGGACTAAGTGGCAAACTGTGCCTGCCACATGGTTAACATTCAGTAAATGGGGCACACTACCATTTGCCCACATAACATCAAAAGAAGTAATGCTTATTTCTCATAATGGTTAACGCTAAAGTTCATCCAAATGTTAATTTATGACAAGTGTTCTAGGAGCCAAAATATGTTTATTAGGAAAAGTTGTCAGTATATTTGGGCCTTGATTATCTTACTAAAGTTTGCTAAAGGCTTTCTCCTAGTCTACTTCACTGGCAGGTGGCTAGCAGTCTGGAACAAGTATAATTTAAATAAAAGAATAAACAATTAAATCTATTTCAAAGTGAGTTAGAAGCTGAGTGTAACAGGCTCTCCACTTTCTAGTGTCATTTCTGTTACCAGGATAGGTGTTTTAATCTATAAATTCTGTGGATAGTCAACCCTAGAGTGCTAGTAGAGTATAGCTGAGGTATGGAGAGGAATCTAAGTTATATTATTCAAATATAATGTTTGGGAGACAAGAATTTTTGACCCATATGTATTTACACTAACTAAATGCAAACTGTAGTCCAACAGCAATGCTATTTTGATTCTCTGAATTAGAAGAAGGTAGTTGATGGGAAAGAGGGAGAAATTTACCATAGAAATGATGCTTTCTGAGAAATTATCTTATATGTTATAGAATCTGTAACGTAACCTTCCTTAAACATATTACCAAATGATCCTTATAATTTGTGATGACACTGATGATATTACTTAACTTGTTGAATGGGCTAATTGATGTAAGTTAAGTGTTTAGGACAGTAACTGACATATGTTGCATAAATATTAGTTTCTGCTTAAAATCTGGATCAAAATCTTTCTCCAAAAATTTTCTGAACCTAAATGTAGCTCACTTGCTACATTTAACAGGATGTTAAAGGATTCTGCCTTATGTGTTTTCTGAATATGAACTGTCTGATAAAAGGATTAAAGTTCTCCATGTGTATGTGTTTGACATAGCCTTTTTTATTTTTATTTATTTATTTTTGAGATGGAGTCTTGCTCTATTGCCCAAACTGGAGTGCAGTGGCACAATCTTGGCTCACTACAACCTCCGCCTCCGGGGTTCAAATGATTCTCCTGGCCCAACCTCCTGAGTAGCTGAGATTACAAGTGCCCACCACCACACCCAGCTAATTTTTTTTTTTTTTTTTTTTTTTGAGACGGAGTCTCCCTCTGTCTCCGGGCTGGAGTGCAGTGGCACCATTTCGGCTCGCTGCAACCTCAACCTCCTGGGTTCAAGTGATTCTCCTGCCTCAGCCTCTCAAGTAGCTGGGACTACAGGCACCCGCCACCACACCCAGCTAATGTTTGTGGATTTTTAGTAGAAATGGGGTTTCACCATGTTGGCCAGGATGCTACTGCTCCAAAGAAGTGCTTCTCAAATTTTAATATGCATACAAATCATCCGCCCGCCTTGGCCTCTCAAAGTGCTGGGACTATAGGCATGAGCCACTGCGCCTGGCCTACGCCCAGCTAATTTTTGTATTTTTAGTAGAGATGGAGTTTCACCATGTTGGCCAGGCTGGTCTCAAACTCCTGACCTTGTGATCCACCCACCTCGACCTCTCAAAGTGCTGGGATTGCAGGCGTGAGCCACTGTGACCAGCCGTGTTTGATATAGTCTTGAAAATATTTTTCTTTCGTAGAAGAAACCTAACAAACCTACTAAATTTTTAAATTTATAGATCTGATCTTATAGTCCCATCTCAATGAGCCTCACATCCAAGAAATTTCCAGTTTTTAAAAAAAGATTGCACAATTTATTTTCCTTTAATTTGAAGGTTGTCATGTTCTGTTTAAGACAAAAAGATGGAAACACCAAAAGTTTAAGTGTGATCCATTTATTATTGCTGCCATTTGTGGGTACATTCTCTCAATTCTCCTTAAATCCCAGTGATGCTTTTATACTTGCAACACGTGTATCCACCTCTAGCTTCCCTGTGCAGAAATGTTTGGCATTGGAATGTGAGGTATCTCTCAGGAAACAGAGTGGCAATGGGTAGGATGAAACCTACCCATTGAGAGTTCATGATATTCATTGTGAAATACCACTAGATATAGTCCTTCATTTTATTTAGAGAGCTTGAAGTTTCTGATTTTATGTAGAACAGAAAAAGAAACACAAATTATACAAAATTTAAGTGCAATCAAAAATAAAAATATATGTTAAATAAACGGTTATGGTACAAATTTTGCAAAGCCTTCAGGTGAGCCACAAATAATCTTGGAAATTATTTTAATAAAGTCATTTTGGTTCTTTTTCTTCATTTTCCTTAAAGTCACCTCTAAAGGTATTTCTCTGTTTATATCATATGTAATCAGCTTTTGGCTAAAGAACAAGTGGTAGTAAATGAAGACTGCCAAAGCCTCAAAAATGATATTGAAGAAATGGGGATAATTAGAAAAAACAGAAGTTCAAACATTAAAATTCTGGCACTATTAGATGACATCAACCTAAACCTGGTAAATCAGTTTTCAGAAAACTAGGTGCTTATTGCGCTTTCATTTTATATCCAATAACTGCATCAAACTTAACACTGATTTTTCGTTTTAAAACTGCCAGGAAACGCTCAGGAAGGATCCTAAAAGAAAGATATATGCAAATAATTAGAAAATTAATATTAAGTGCATTTGTAGAATACCCTCTTTAGAAATACTTTTAAGTTATCATGTATAGTCATGTTCATGTTAAATAAGATTAAGCATCTTAAATCTGAGTCACTACTATATATTCTTTCCCATTAAATCTATTTCCTTTTCAAATGGAAAAGAAGGCTTAGCCTTCTTTACAGTAGAATAACCTGAAGTAGTCAGTTTTTGAAACAAAAGATCTGAGGGAGGAGGTGTAAGAACTGAAGAGTTGAGATACTAAAGACTTTACAAAAAGAAACCCGACATTAAAAAGGAAATGAGAATAGGAACTAATTTTGTACTTTATAATGCAGAATATTATTAAAATGTTCCACTAAGAGACTGCGGAAGTAGAACTGCTAAATAAAAATGCAGACAACGCTTTGGTTTTGAGCATAATGCTGAACCAATTATTTCACCTTTCAGTTTAAATTCCTCACGTGTAAATGGAAAAATTAACATCTATCCCTCAGTGTTCTTTTGTGGAATCAATGTGTTACTATATTAAATAAAATGTCTTGGCCTGGCGTGGTGGCTCACGCCTGTAATCCCAGCACTTTGGGAGGCAGAGGCGGGTGGATCACGAGGTCAGGAGACCGAGATCATCCTGGCTAACACGGTGAAACCCTGTCTCTACTAAAAATACAAAAAATTAGCCAGGCATGGTGGCGGGTGCCTATAGTCCCAGCTATTCAGGAGGCTAAGGCAGAAGAATTGCTTGAACCTGGGAGGTGGAGGTTGCAGTGAGCCCAGATCATGCCATTGCGCTCCAGCCTGGGCGACAGAGCGAGACTCCGTCCCCCACAGCACCCCCCCAAAAAATGTCTTGAACAGTGACGGACACTAGCAGGTCTCATCTCTTTTCTCCAGACACTACACTTAGAATATTTAGGGAGTTGTCACATTCCAGTGGGTCTGGGAGAAAACAAAACAGAATATGTAAATCAACATAATAATATACAGAAATCTGCCTAGATGGCATGAAAAGAGGGTTTGGAAATATGACACCAATGTGACCTCATAACAAGAATTAGGGCAATGATAATAATAATAGTAGTAGTTATAATAACAGTGGCATATAACATTTATTGAGTACTTACAATGTACTGAGTACTTTTTATTTTATTTATTTATTTTTGAGGTAGGGTCTTGCTCTGTTGCTCAAGATGGAGTGCAGTGGCATGATCATGGCTCACTGCAGCCTCAACTTTCTGAGCTCAAGCAATTCTCCCACTTCAGCCTCCTGAGTAGCTGGTACTACAGGTGTGTTCCAACACGCCTGGCTAATGTTTTTGATTTCTAGTAGAGACAAGGTCTTATTATGTTGCCCAGGCTTGTCTTGAACTCTTGACCTCAAGCAATCCTCCTGCCTCAGCCTCTCAAAGTGCTGGGATTACAGGCGTGAGCCACCGTGCCCAGCCCTGAGTACTTTAAGAGCATTATTTTCTTTATTCGTCTCAGCCCTATAAAGTCCAATTGTTTTCTCCATGTTACAGATAAAGAAACTGAACTTCAGATAAGTTAAAAAACTAATCCATGTTCATGTTGCAAGCAAGTCACACAAACACAGCTTCATTCAACTCCAGAGCACAAACTTTGAGTCTTTATGTTTAAAGGTCTAGAAACTAGAATTAATTTATTCAATCAACAAACATTTTGGTGCCTCTAATGTGTCAGTCACTCTTCAAAATGCAGAGCATACAGTGATGAAAACTAGGCAAAATTCCTTCTTCTATAGGTTTATATTCTAAGGGGCTGCGATCACTGAGTGCATACTTACGTAACATGACAAGTACAATGCCAGAAACATCACAGGCTTTAACTCGTCTACTCACCAAAGAGATCCCTGAGCTTTACTATCTAAACCTCCAAGGCATGTTCATCATAGTTTTTAGCAGAAGGGGCAAGAAAGCCTAACATATGTCATGCTTTTCATTTCTTGAGTTTTTTGCTCTTCGCATCAGTAATTCTCAAAATATAATCTCTGGACCACTGTCTGTGGCAGTTGCCTATTAAAATACAGATTTCCGGTCCAACTCAAACATCCATGTTAAAATCTTTAGAAGTGAGATCAAGGGATCTATTTTTAAATAGACTTCCCAAGTGATCCTGATATCCCACTGACTTGGAGAAGCCCAGTCTAGGACAGGCAGCAAGAGGCTTTTTCTCCCAGCTGTCCTAAGGCACCTCTCCCCTTTCCCCTCCTTATGTGGCCAGCCTCATTGCCACACAGCTTTCCCAGATGAGGAATGAAGCAGTGTGTTATGATGAGACATTCGTGAAACTAGTGGTTTCCAATCTTGGCTGGATAATTGAATCACCTAGAAAGTTATTGTATCTCTCAAAGCCCAGGCCACACTCCAAACCAAGTCAATCAGAATTTGGGGGAGTTGGTCTCAGGCAGCAGCATTTTTTAAACTTCCCAGGTGAATTCCAGTGTGCACCAAAGTTGAGAGCTACTGCTCCAAAGAAATGCTTCTCAAATTTTAATATGCGTACAAATCATCTAGGAGAACTTATTGAAATGCAAATTCTGACTCAAGAGATCAGGAGAGTCTGTATTTCTAACAAACTCCCAGGTAATGTGTGTAGTCCAAGAACCACATTGGAAGAAGCAAGACTCAAGGATTTCTAAAATTATAAAAAAAAATTTAGCAATTCATATACTTCAGTATGATTTTGCACAAAACAAAAGCTCAATGATTATCTGTTGTATCTTTAAATAAATACCTAAAACCTAACTCTGGTCTCCTTTAATATCATTGTTCTATGATTCCATTATGTAAAGATGCTTAAAAACTATCCTTCTTCAGAGTCATTCATTTATAAGACAAGACTTGCAGAAATATACAAATTTCTTTCTTTACAAAAAGTAAAAATGTGTGGAAATTACTCGGTTCATTTACCCAAGAGCTGTATCAATCTTGCCTCAATGTTATTGAGCCTGTTATTTTTATTAAGTCAATTCCATTTAACTGTACTTTATCAACTGCCTGATTTAAATGTCAGTAAAAAATGCAATAGATAATTGTTATTTTACCTTTCATTTCTAAGGTTTCTTAACTGTCACTTACCTTTCCAATGTTGTTAAAAAAGCTATAGAAGATGGAATAAAAATCATCTTCTGCTCAGTCAGAATCCCATGCATCAGCCTGTTTACCACTTCCTCAGGTTCCAGAGTGGGTCCCAAACTGAAATCAGAGTCAGTCTTCAGAAACAAAATACTTCACCGAGGCTTCAGCTTTAGTTTGGTGCTAACCAACAGCTTTAGTATGGTACAGACACCATAACATAACTGATTTGTAGTGTCTAGCCTAGTATAGGTGCTCAGAAATGGTAGCTACTTTACCATTGATAATAATAATAACAATCATTCACTTAGTGCTTATCGTGTACCACACACTGTGCTAAACCTTCTACATAGGTTATTCCATTGACGTTTGACAATAACTTTATGAAGGCAATATTATAATTCCTATTCCACAAATAAGAATTATAGAAGTAACTAAGATTCAAATATAATTGAGCTAGATTAGGTCTGACAACTTTACTTTTAAACTTTAAGCAGTCTCGGGAAAAAAATCAGATACTATTATACAAGTTTTATTATATACTCAGTCTCCTTAGTGAACAATTCCTAAAGCATCAGAGGAATTAGAATATGACAGGTACGTGCCCACCTTTAGGCCCTTCATCTCCACATGATATGCTTATATTTATTAGGTCTTTGGTTTTTTTGGTTGTTGTTGTTTTTTTTGGTTTGTTTGTTTTTTTGAGGCAGGGTCTCACTCTGTCACCCAGGCTGGAGTGCAGTGGTGAGATCTTGGCTCACTGCAACCTCCACCTACTGGGTTCAAGCGATTTTCCTGCCTTGGCCCCTCAAGTAGCTGGGACTACAGATGTACGCCACCACTCCAGGCTATTTTTTGTATTTTTAGTAGAGATAGGGTTTCACCATATTGCCCAGGCTGGTCTTGAACTCCTGGACTCAAGTGATCCGCCAGCCTCGGCCTCCCAAAGTGCCGGGATTGCAGGCAGGAGCCACTGCAATTAGGTTTTGGCTTTGTTACTTAGTTCCATGTTACATCTTTGTTGTGTAATCACTCAAGTATATGTACCACAGACTAGCAGGTGGCCCCCAAAAAGTGGGTTTTAGGCTGGGTGTGACGGTTCAGGCCTGTATCCCCGTAATCCCAGCACTTTGGGAGGCTGAGGCGGGTGGAGCGCTTGAGCCCAGGACTTCGAGATCAGCCTAGCCATCATGGCAAAATCCTGTCTCTACAAAGAAATACAAAAGAAAATTAGGCAAGAGTGGTGGTGCACTCTTGTAGTGCTAGCTACTCAGGAGGCTGAGGCTAGAGGATCCTTTGAGCCTGGGAGGCTGAGGCTGCAGTGGGTCATGACTGTTCCACTGCATTCCAGCCTGGACAACAGAGCTAGACCCTGTCTCTAAATAAATAAATAGATAGATAAGTGGCTTAAAAAAATCAGTTACAGAAGTGCAATTAGAGAGGAGCTGCACAAGAGTTAGTACTGAGACTTTTTAACATTTTATTAATGACTTAGAAAAAATGATACATAATTAAATGTACTCATGAAATTTGCCATGCCACTAAACTATTTGGGTGGCTAACATTTTGGGGAGGCTTATTTTTAATGTGTGTGTCTAGTTAAAAGAAGTGAGACACCAGGCGTGGTGCTCAATGCCTGTAATCCCAGGACTTTGGGAGGCCGAGGCAAGCAGATCACTTGAGGTCAGGAGTCTGAGACCAGCCTGGCCAACATGATGAAACCCCATCTCTACTAAAAATACAAAATTAGCCAGGCATGATGGCAGGCACCTGTAATTCCAGCTACTCGAGAGGCTGAGGCAGGAGAATCACTAGAACCCAGGAGGCAGAGATTGTAGTGACCCAAGATCGTGCCACTGCACCCCAGCCTGGGCAACAAAGTGAAACTTCGCTGCAAAAAAAAAAAAAAAAAAGAAGTGAGGCAAAAAGTACTGGATGTGCCAGGCAGAGTGACTCACGCCTGTAATCTTAGCAATTTGGGAGGGTTAGGCGGGAGGATCACTTGAGCCCAGGAGTTGGAAACCAGCCTAGGCAAGATGGTGAGATCTCGTCTCAAAAAAACAAAAACAAAAACAAAACTGGATGAAATTCTTTAGAAATAAATAAAGAATAATTCATTCAGAAAAAAAATATATTTTGAAGTAAAACTGGGACAATTGAGAAGTATAATATTGTATTTAAAAGTGAGCATGATTATTGGATCCATGAAGGAGAGTAGAGCTTAAAAATATATAAGCTTTAATTCTCAGCACAGTTCATTCATTTATTAGAATATTGTGTTCACCATGGGACCTTGAAGCAATAGTATTACATATGAAAATCTTGGAGATTTGATAGGAGAGGAAATGTAATAATGAAATCGATGGCTTTTGGCCTAATGGAAGCAAAAAATCAAAGGCAACGGAAGCTTGCAGCATAAACAGGCAGGGGTATCAAGGAGGATGAATCCAGAAACTGAAGGATGCTATGCCTTGAAAAGCATTTAGAGGGAAATTCATTTTGTAGCACATTGCTACCAGACTTCAATATTCTCAAGCTCAATGAAAGCTTATAGACACCTGTGTAAATAGAGCACTCTCTCATCCACACTGTGGCCTTGCTAACCTACCTATCAAGCGGTGCTGCATTCACCAAACTTTTCTAGTGTACCCGATTTCTTTACCTAAGGTTTTTAGCCCCTGTCAGATAACTTCTTATTGAAATACAATGACTGTTCAATATCATAATTTTAAAAGCCAAAAGAAAAGGCTTTCAGAAAAAACTCAATTTCTTAGCAAAATAGTATCTTAATCATTAAAATGTCAGTATGTGGAAACATTTTTTTTCCCAATACGCTAAAGTTAACGAGAGTTACAAATCCCATTAAACAAATGTTCTTAATGGATTTTGTAGAAACTATCCAAAAACACTTCAAGCCAATCTGCTGGGGTGGGAAAGGAGGGTGCATGTTGGGGTAGAGAAATACTGAGGGGGAAGGAGTATTTTCGTCTGAAGGATTGTATTTGATGACCTACTTTAACCACTTAAGTAATGAGTAATTTTGGGGAAAACATTTCAACTCTTTTTTTTTTTTTTTTTTGAGACAGAGTCTCGCTCTGTCGCCCAGGCTGGAGTGCAGTGGCACGATCTCAGCTCACTGCAACCTCCGTCTCCCAGGCTCAAGCAATTCTCCTGCTTCAGCCTCCCAAGTAGCTGGGATTACAGGCATGTGCCACCACGCCTGGCTAATTTTTGTATTTTTAGTAGAGACGGGGTTTCACCATGTTAGCCAGGCTGGTCTCGAACTCCTGATCTCAGGTAATCTGCCTGTCTTGGCCTCCCAAAGTGCTGGGATTACAGGCGTGAGCCACTGTGCCTGGCCTCAACTCTTTAAATCTCAGGTTTTTGTTTTTGTTATTTCCTAATCTGAAAAATAAGGATAGTGCAGTGGTGCAGTGGCAAATGTTTAACCACTGGCTCTCTAGGGGACAAAAATCTCAGTTTAGTAGCATTTGTTGATTTCCACAGTGTAAATATTCCCACGACAACTAATTTTAAACTATCTACCTGACATCACTGAATGAGTACTACTATATAAGCCAGCACCAGCACTCCACTGGGAATATGACGGTTAAATGGAAATGTATATATACAAGCACTTTATACAGTTACACTAGACAAATGTTACATGAGGCATTTTCTTATATAACATCTTTTTATGGTACTAGTCAATAAAACTAATATCTTTCTGTGACACACACATACAAACTCCTAAATTTTTAGAGAAAAAATAAATTGTGTTATATATATTACAGATGGGAAATTAGATGTTTTAAAATGATGTTCAACAGAAATAAATCTTGGCTGCCCCCAAAATGATCAGAACACTCAATTACACTTAATCTAATAAATTCAGGTTATGCGGCATTGTTTCTATCATTAGTTGGAAAGAGATAATTTATTTCAGGAAAAAAACATTTAACTAAAAATTGCTTGTGTAGCTAACAAGAGATCCCAAAATATTATACATGAAGCAAAACCTGTCAGAATTAAAGGGAGGGAGACATAAGACAGTTTCAACAATAATAGCCGGGGACTTTATTTTCCACTTTCAACAACATATTGAAGAACTAGACAGAAGACCAGCAGAAATAGAAGACTTGAATAACACTATAAATCAACTATACCTAACAGATGCCTCACACCATCCCAACAACAGCAGAATACACATTATTCTCAAGAACACATGGAAAATTTTCTCCCAGGTAGACCATACATCAGACCACAAAGCAAATCTCAATATGTTTTAAAAGATTAAAGTTATACAAACTATGTTCTCTGACTACAATGGAGTAAAATCAGAAAATAACAGAAGGAAAACTGGAAAACTCACAAATATACAGAAATTAAACA
The DNA here is from genome assembly GCF_000001405.40 of Homo sapiens. Taxonomy (NCBI): domain Eukaryota; kingdom Metazoa; phylum Chordata; class Mammalia; order Primates; family Hominidae; genus Homo; species Homo sapiens. Next base: position 87,344,879 of record NC_000004.12, read on the forward strand.
GTACCCCTAAATAAGCAATGAGACAAATGAGAAACCACAAGAAATTAGAAAATACTTTGAGGTGAACATAAATGAGAACACAACATATCAAGATTTATGGGATGAGGTGAGCATAGTGGCTCAAGCCCATAATCCCAGCACTTTGGAGGCTGAGGCAGGAAGATTGCTTGAGCCCAGGAGTTTGAGATCAGCCTGGACAACAGAGTGAGACCCTGTCTCTACAAACAATTTTTAAAAATTAGCTGAGTGTGGTGGCACGCACCTGTAGTCCTAGATACTCAGGAGGCTGAGGCAGGAGGATCACTTGAGCCCAGGGAGGTAGAGGCTGCAGTGAGTTATGACTGCACCAACTGGCACTCCAGCCTGGGTGACAGAGTGAGATCCTATCTCAAAATAAATAAATAAACAAATAAAGACTCATGAGGTGCAGTGAAAGCAGTGCTCAGAGGCAAATTTATAGCTGCAAATGCCTGCATTAAAAAAAGAAGAAGATCTCAAATCAGTAAAGTGAAATTCCACATTAAGAAACTATAGAAACAAAAAATAAAAACAAACCCAAAGCAAGCAGAAAAAAAAGATTGAAGCACAAATGAATGAATTAGAGGACAGAAAAACTACAGAGAAAATCAATGAAACTTAAAATAGGTTCTTTAAAAAGATAAACAAAATTAGCAAACCTTTAGCTACACTGACCAAGGCAAAAAGAGAGAAGACTCAAACTACTAAAACCAGGAATGAAAGCAGGGACATTCCTGCTGACCTTACAGAAATAAATAAGATTATAATAGAATACTAGGACAATTGCATGCCAACAAATTAGAAACCTACATGAAATATACAAACTCTCAGGAATACACAAACTACCAAAACTGACTCAAGGAAAAACAGAAAATCTGAGATCTTTAATAAGAGATTGAATCAGCAATCAAGAAACTTCCAGGAAAGAGGAGCCCAGGACTAGATGGCTTCATAATGAATTCTACCCAATGTTTAAAAAAGAATTAACACCAATCCTTCAAATTCTCCCAAAAAAATAGAAGAGGAGGAAATTCTTAATTCATTCTCTGAGTCCCGAATTACCCCGATACTAAAAACAGAGTAAGAGATCACATGAAAACTACTGACCAGTATCTCTTAGGAATATAGATGCAAAAATTCTCAACAAAAGATTGGCAAATTAAATCTAGCATTATATTAAAATAACTACATGCCATTATCCCAGGAATACAAAGTGGCTCACCATACACAAAACAGTGAAATATACCATTTTAATAAAATGAAGGGAAAAAACCTACACCATCATCTCAGTAGGTATCAAAAACGCATTTGACATGATACAACGTTCCTTCGTGATAAAAACACTCAACAAACTAGGAACAGAAGGGCATTTCTTCAACCTGTTTTATAAGCATTTGTGTAATGCAGTCTGATTTATATAATCAAAATGGAGTAGCAAAGATAGTAGGATTTATTAAATATAAAAGGATGGGCCGGGTGCGGTGGCTCACGACTGTAATCCCAACACTTTGGGAGGCCGAGGCAGGCGGATCGCTTGAGGTCAGGAGTTTGAGATCAGCCTGGCCCACATGGCAAAACCCCCATCTCTACTAAAAATAGAAAAATTAGCTGGGCATGGTGGCACGCACCTGTACTCCCAGCTACTTGGGAGGCTGAGGCAGGACAATCGCTTGAATCTGGGAGGTGGAGGCCGCAGTTAGCTGGGATCATGCCACTGCACTCTAGCCTGGGCGACAGAGCGAGACCCTGTCTCAAACATAAATAATTAAATGAATGAAAATATTATTGTTGGCCAATTTAATGATAAAAATATCATATTAATATAACATGGAAGTACTGTTTTTTTCCTATCATACTGGCAAAGATTAAAAGTGTGCTAAGCTGGGTGTGGCAGCTCACGCCTATAGCCCAGCTACTTGGGACACTGAGGCAAGATCAGCCTGGGGAACAAAGCAAGACCTTGTCTCTAAAAGAAAAAATATATATATGTATATTTTTAAAAAATTTTAAAAACTATTTGTTGAAATTCAAGTTTAACAAAAATAACTGAGCTTAAAAAAATAATTGGAACACCTGATTTACATTTAATTCCAATAAACCCAGATTATGCTGTATTATACCTTTATAGTAAACAGTAAATTGTATTGATTATTGGGAGCAATAGCATCTCCTAGTGATGATTTTAGGGTTGTTTTTAGTATTCTGGATTTTTTTTTTTTCTTTTTTTTTTTTTTTTTTTTATTATACTCTAAGTTTTAGGGTACATGTGCACATTGTGCAGGTTAGTTACATATGTATACATGTGCCATGCTGGTGCGCTGCACCCACTAATGTGTCATCTAGCATTAGGTATATCTCCCAATGCTATCCCTCCCCACTCCCCCGACCCCACCACAGTCCCCAGAGTGTGATATTCCCCTTCCTGTGTCCATGTGATCTCATTGTTCAATTCCCACCTATGAGTGAGAATATGCGGTGTTTGGTTTTTTGTTCTTGCGATAGTTTACTGAGAATGATGGTTTCCAATTTCATCCATGTCCCTACAAAGGATATGAACTCATCATTTTTTATGGCTGCATAGTATTCCATGGTGTATATATGCCACATTTTCTTAATCCAGTCTATCATTGTTGGACATTTGGGTTGGTTCCAAGTCTTTGCTATTGTGAATAGTGCCGCAATAAACATACGTGTGCATGTGTCTTTATAGCAGCATGATTTATACTCATTTGGGTATATACCCAGTAATGGGATGGCTGGGTCAAATGGTATTTCTAGTTCTAGATCCCTGAGGAATCGCCACACTGACTTCCACAATGGTTGAACTAGTTTACAGTCCCACCAACAGTGTAAAAGTGTTCCTATTTCTCCGCATCCTCTCCAGCACCTGTTGTTTCCTGACTTTTTAATGATTGCCATTCTAACTGGTGTGAGATGATATCTCATAGTGGTTTTGATTTGCATTTCTCTGATGGCCAGTGATGATGAGCATTTCTTCATGTGTTTTTTGGCTGCATAAATGTCTTCTTTTGAGAAGTGTCTGTTCATGTCCTTCGCCCACTTTTTGATGGGGTTGTTTGTTTTTTTCTTGTAAATTTGTTTGAGTTCATTGTAGATTCTGGATATTAGCCCTTTGTCAGATGAGTAGGTTGCAAAAATTTTCTCCCATGTTGTAGGTTGCCTGTTCACTCTGATGGTAGTTTCTTTTGCTGTGCAGAAGCTCTTTAGTTTAATTAGATCCCATTTGTCAATTTTGTCTTTTGTTGCCATTGCTTTTGGTGTTTTGGACATGAAGTCCTTGCCCACGCCTATGTCCTGAATGGTAATGCCTAGGTTTTCTTCTAGGGTTTTTATGGTTTTAGGTTTAACGTTTAAATCTTTAATCCATCTTGAATTGATTTTTGTATAAGGTGTAAGGAAGGGATCCAGTTTCAGCTTTCTACATATGGCTAGCCAGTTTTCCCAGCACCATTTATTAAATAGGGAATCCTTTCCCCATTGCTTGTTTTTCTCAGGTTTGTCAAAGATCAGATAGTTGTAGATATGCGGCATTATTTCTGAGGGCTCTGTTCTGTTCCATTGATCTATATCTCTGTTTTGGTACCAGTACCATGCTGTTTTGGTTACTGTAGCCTTGTAGTATAGTTTGAAGTCAGGTAGTGTGATGCCTCCAGCTTTGTTCTTTTGGCTTAGGATTGACTTGGCAATGCGGGCTCTTTTTTGGTTCCATATGAACTTTAAAGTAGTTTTTTCCAATTCTGTGAAGAAAGTCATTGGTAGCTTGATGGGGATGGCATTGAATCTGTAAATTACCTTGGGCAGTATGGCCATTTTCACGATATTGATTCTTCCTACCCATGAGCATGGAATGTTCTTCCATTTGTTTGTCTCCTCTTTTATTTCCTTGAGCAGTGGTTTGTAGTTCTCCTTGAAGAGGTCCTTCACAGTGTTGGATTCCTAGGTATTTTATTCTCTTTGAAGCAATTGTGAATGGGAGTTCACCCATGATTTGGCTCTCTGTTTGTCTGTTGTTGGTGTATAAGAATGCTTGTGATTTTTGTACATTGATTTTGTATCCTGAGACTTTGCTGAAGTTGCTTATCAGCTTAAGGAGATTTTGGGCTGAGACGATGGGGTTTTCTAGATAAACAATCATGTCGTCTGCAAACAGGGACAATTTGACTTCCTCTTTTCCTAATTGAATACCCTTTATTTCCTTCTCCTGCCTGATTGCCCTGGCCAGAACTTCCAACACTATGTTGAATAGGAGCGGTGAGAGAGGGCATCCCTGTCTTGTGCCGGTTTTCAAAGGGAATGCTTCCAGTTTTTGCCCATTCAGTATGATATTGGCTGTGGGTTTGTCATAGATAGCTCTTATTATTTTGAAATACGTCCCATCAATACCTAATTTATTGAGAGTTTTTAGCATGAAGGGTTGTTGAATTTTGTCAAAGGCTTTTTCTGCATCTATTGAGATAATCATGTGGTTTTTGTCTTTGGCTCTGTTTATATGCTGGATTACATTTATTGATTTGCGTATATTGAACCAGCCTTGCATCCCAGGGATGAAGCCCACTTGATCATGGTGGATAAGCTTTTTGATGTGCTGCTGGATTCGGTTTGCCAGTATTTTATTGAGGATTTTTGCATCAATGTTCATCAAGGATATTGGTCTAAAATTCTCTTTTTTGGTTGTGTCTCTGCCCGGCTTTGGTATCAGAATGATGCTGGCCTCATAAAATGAGTTAGGGAGGATTCCCTCTTTTTCTATTGATTGGAATAGTTTCAGAAGGAATGGTACCAGTTCCTCCTTGTACCTCTGGTAGAATTCGGCTGTGAATCCATCTGGTCCTGGACTCTTTTTGGTTGGTAAACTATTGATTATTGCCACAATTTCAGAGCCTGTTATTGGTCGATTCAGAGATTCAACTTCTTCCTGGTTTAGTCTTGGGAGAGTGTATGTGTCGAGGAATGTATCCATTTCTTCTAGATTTTCTAGTTTATTTGCGTAGAGGTGTTTGTAGTATTCTCTGATGGTAGTTTGTATTTCTGTGGGATCGGTGGTGATATCCCCTTTATCATTTTTTATTGTGTCTATTTGATTCTTCTCTCTTTTTTTCTTTATTAGTCTTGCTAGCGGTCTATCAATTTTGTTGATCCTTTCAAAAAACCAGCTCCTGGATTCATTGATTTTTTGAAGGGTTTTTTGTGTCTCTATTTCCTTCAGTTCTGCTCTGATTTTAGTTATTTCTTGCCTTCTGCTAGCTTTTGAATGTGTTTGCTCTTGCTTTTCTAGTTCTTTTAATTGTGATGTTAGGGTGTCAATTTTGGATCTTTCCTGCTTTCTCTTGTAGGCATTTAGTGCTATAAATTTCCCTCTACACACTGCTTTGAATGCGTCCCAGAGATTCTGGTATGTGGTGTCTTTGTTCTCGTTGGTTTCAAAGAACATCTTTATTTCTGCCTTCATTTCGTTATGTACCCAGTAGTCATTCAGGAGCAGGTTGTTCAGTTTCCATGTAGTTGAGCGGCTTTGAGTGAGATTCTTAATCCTGAGTTCTAGTTTGATTGCACTGTGGTCTGAGAGATAGTTTGTTATAATTTCTGTTCTTTTACATTTGCTGAGGAGAGCTTTACTTCCAACTATGTGGTCAATTTTGGAATAGGTGTGGTGTGGTGCTGAAAAAAATGTATATTCTGTTGATTTGGGGTGGAGAGTTCTGTAGATGTCTATTAGGTCTGCTTGGTGCAGAGCTGAGTTCAATTCCTGGGTATCCTTGTTGACTTTCTGTCTCGTTGATCTGTCTAATGTTGACAGTGGGGTGTTAAAGTCTCCCATTATTAATGTGTGGGAGTCTAAGTCTCTTTGTAGGTCACTGAGGACTTGCTTTATGAATCTGGGTGCTCCTGTATTGGGTGCATAAATATTTAGGATAGTTAGCTCCTCTTGTTGAATTGATCCCTTTACCATTATGTAATGGCCTTCTTTGTCTCTTTTGATCTTTGTTGGTTTAAAGTCTGTTTTATCAGAGACTAGGATTGCAACCCCTGCCTTTTTTTGTTTTCCATTGGCTTGGTAGATCTTCCTCCATCCTTTTATTTTGAGCCTATGTGTGTCTCTGCACGTGAGATGGGTTTCCTGAATACAGCACACTGATGGGTCTTGACTCTTTATCCAAATTGCCAGTCTGTGTCTTTTAATTGCAGAATTTAGTCCATTTATATTTAAAGTTAATATTGTTATGTGTGAATTTGATCCTGTCATTATGATGTTAGCTGGTGATTTTGCTCATTAGTTGATGCAGTTTCTTCCTAGTCTCGATGGTCTTTACATTTTGGCATGATTTTGCAGCGGCTGGTACCGGTTGTTCCTTTCCATGTTTAGCGCTTCCTTCAGGAGCTCTTTTAGGGCAGGCCTGGTGGTGACAAAATCTCTCAACATTTGCTTGTCTATAAAGTATTTTATTTCTCCTTCACTTATGAAGCTTAGTTTGGCTGGATATGAAATTCTGGGTTGAAAATTCTTTTCTTTAAGAATGTTGAATATTGGCCCCCACTCTCTTCTGGCTTGTAGGGTTTCTGCCGAGAGATCCGCTGTTAGTCTGATGGGCTTTCCTTTGAGGGTAACCCGACCTTTCTCTCTGGCTGCCCTTAACATTTTTTCCTTCATTTCAACTTTGGTGAATCTGACAATTATGTGTCTTGGAGTTGCTCTTCTCGAGGAGTATCTTTGTGGCGTTCTCTGTATTTCCTGAATCTGAACGTTGGCCTGCCTTGCTAGATTGGGGAAGTTCTCCTGGATAATATCCTGCAGAGTGTTTTCCAACTTGGTTCCATTCTCCACATCACTTTCAGGTACACCAATCAGACGTAGATTTGGTCTTTTCACATAGTCCCATATTTCTTGGAGGCTTTGCTCATTTCTTTTTATTCTTTTTTCTCTAAACTTCCCTTCTCGCTTCATTTCATTCATTTCATCTTCCATTGCTGATACCCTTTCTTCCAGTTGATCGCATCGGCTCCTGAGGCTTCTGCATTCTTCACGTAGTTCTCGAGCCTTGGTTTTCAGCTCCATCAGCTCCTTTAAGCACTTCTCTGTATTGGTTATTCTAGTTATACATTCTTCTAAATTTTTTTCAAAGTTTTCAACTTCTTTGCCTTTGGTTTGAATGTCCTCCCGTAGCTCAGAGTAATTTGATCGTCTGAAGCCTTCTTCTCTCAGCTCGTCAAAATCATTCTCCATCCAGCTTTGTTCTGTTGCTGGTGAGGAACTGCGTTCCTTTGGAGGAGGAGAGGCGCTCTGCGTTTTAGAGTTTCCAGTTTTTCTGTTCTGTTTTTCCCCCATCTTTGTGGTTTTATCTACTTTTGGTCTTTGATGATGGTGATGTACAGATGGGTTTTCGGTGTAGATGTCCTTTCTGGTTGTTAGTTTTCCTTCTAACAGACAGGACCCTCAGCTGCAGGTCTGTTGGAATACCCTGCCGTGTGAGGTGTCAGTGTGCCCCTGCTGGGGGGTGCCTCCCAGTTAGGCTGCTCGGGGGTCAGGAGTCAGGGACCCACTTGAGGAGGCAGTCTGCCCGTTCTCAGATCTCCAGCTGCGTGCTGGGAGAACCACTGCTCTCTTCAAAGCTGTCAGACAGGGACACTTAAGTCTGCAGAGGTTACTGCTGTCTTTTTGTTTGTCTGTGCCCTGCCCCCAGAGGTGGAGCCTACAGAGGCAGGCAGGCCTCCTTGAGCTGTGGTGGGCTCCACCCAGTTCGAGCTTCCCGGCTGCTTTGTTTACCTAAGCAAGCCTGGGCAATGGCGGGCGCCCCTCCCCCAGCCTCGTTGCCGCCTTGCAGTTTGATCTCAGACTGCTGTGCTAGCAATCAGCGAGATTCCGTGGGCGTAGGACCCTCCGAGCCAGGTGTGGGATATAGTCTCGTGGTGCGCCGTTTCTTAAGCCGGTCTGAAAAGCGCAATATTCGGGTGGGAGTGACCCGATTTTCCAGGTGCGTCCGTCACCCCTTTCTTTGACTCGGAAAGGGAACTCCCTGACCCCTTGCGCTTCCCAGGTGAGGCAATGCCTCGCCCTGCTTCGGCTCGCGCACGGTGCGCACACACACTGGCCTGCGCCCACTGTCTGGCACTCCCTAGTGAGATGAACCCGGTACCTCAGATGGAAATGCAGAAATCACCGTCTTCTGCGTCGCTCACGCTGGGAGCTGTAGACCGGAGCTGTTCCTATTCGGCCATCTTGGCTCCTCCCTCTAGTATTCTGGATTTTTAACAGCAAATCAGCAATAAGCATCCTCGGGCACACATATTTTCACTTTTGGATAATTATCTCCCTCAGGTAGATTCATAAAGGGGGATTACTGGGCCAAAGGGTATATAACTTGTAATTTAATTTCTCTAAACCTCAGATCTCTCTCATCTACTGAAGAGGGACTAATAACATCTCCCCAAAAGTATTGTTGTGAGGTTTAAGAAAATGACATTTTATTTGGTGTCTGAAATGTAAACAGGTATTTAACGAGGAACATGTTCTCTCTTCTAATTAGAAGTAATAAGTTTCTATATTAAAACCAACTTCATCTTTGGGGTCTACTTTAGTACCAGCTTAGCCTCAAAGAGGTTCATATGTCAGGACCAATCTTTAGGCCCTTCCTTAGCCAGGTTTATATTCAGCCTAGAATCATCTTAGCCTCTTTTCACACTTTTCCTCCAGAGTGCAAATCAGTGCAGCATTTCTGGAGAGGAGTTTGGCAATATGTAGGAATTAATGGCACTAGTAAGTTTTGTCAGGAGAGGGCGCTGGAGCCCACGTTAAGGTCAGCTCTGTGCGGCCTTGTAGGGGGGGCAAGGTTAAAAAATTCAATTATAACTTTTGAAAATAGGATGTCTGTTTTTAACTACTGAAAGACAGTATGACTTTAAAACTTGACTCAAATATGTTATTTTAGTATCCACATACTGAAAAAGAAATTGAGGAAACTGGCAAGTTTTATCTTCAACATCTGCTTTCAGTTTTAGTGAAGCTTATCCTCACTACTTTCATTCCTCAGATCCATTTCCCAACCTGAAAAACATATCTGTCCCTTCTCTTCTCTCTTCAGACTCCAATTAGGGTTCTCTTGTTTAATACTGATAAATTTAAACATTGACCTCTAAAATATACACTCTTACTTTTGTTTTCTAACAAAAATTGTGTATTAAAAATAGATTTTAAAGACTGTTTGATAGATTCTTGGGGGCTTGAGATCTTTGGACAGCTCCCAAATTTCTGTCTAACGTTGGCTTTCTGTTCTGCTTCCCTGTGGGATGACTTAAATTAAGTGTGTTTAAAATAGAACCTGGCGGCCGTGGATCAGCTGTCAAGAGTTCGAGACCAGCCTGACCAATATGATGAAACTCCGTCTCCACTAAAAAAATAATAATAATAATAAAATAGAACTGTTAGGCCAGGCATGGTGACTCATGCCTGTAATCCCAGCACTTTGAGAGGCTGAAGTTGGGAGAATGACTTGAGCCCAGGAGTTCAATTGAGTTCAAGGAGCCCTTGAGCCCAGCCTGTGCAACATAGGGAGACCCTGTCTCTACAAAAAATTTAGAAATTAGCCAGGTGTGGGGACACATGCCTGTATGGTCCCAGGGACTGGGGAGGCTGATGTGGGAGAATAGGTTGAGCCCAGGAGGTCAAGGCTGCAGCGAGCTGTGATTGTGCCACTGCATCCAGCCTGGGTGACAGAGCGAATCCTTGTCTCAAAAAAAATAAAAAAAATAAAAAAAGGAAAAAAATTAGAATCTTCAATTTTACCTTCAAATTAACCCTTCAAGTGGCCACACTGAATATTTTTCATTAATTTTAAATACATTTTCAACAAAGGCAGCTGAATTGGGGGAAATATGGGGAAGTTTGAGGGGGCAGAATAAAACTTAAAAATTGAATCTTGGCTGGATGCAATGACTCATGCTTATAATCTTGGCACTTTGGGAGGTGAGGTGGAGGTGGGAGAATTGCTCAAGGCCAATTTGAGACCAGCCTGGGCAAACAGCAAAATCCTGGCTCTCAAAAAAAAAAAAAAAAAAAAAAATTAGCTGGGCATGATGGCACACACACTGTAGTCCTACTCAGGAGGCTGAGGTGGAGGGTTGCTTGAGCCCAGTTCAAGGTTACAGTGAGCCATGATCACACCACTGCACTTCAGCCTAAATGAGACCCTGTCTGAAAAACAAAACAAAACCAAGCAAAATTGAATCTCATCATTACAATAAAATTGAGAATCCAAAAGTCTATCCAAGTAAGCATGTGAACTTATAATATGAATTTAATATCAGTGAGGAAAATGATGTATTATTTAATAAATAGTGCAGAAAACTCATTAACTATTTGGAAAAAACTATACTGTGACCTTACTTCTTAAATCAAAATAAATTTGGGTGGGGCAATGATTTAAATATGAAAAATGCAACCATAAAATATATGCTAGAAAAAATATGGGTAAATATTTTCAAAAACTTGGAATGAGAAAGACCTTTCTAAACACCTCACAGAACCTAAAGTCCATGAGAAAAAAATCCCTAAGAAAATTTTAATGTAAAACTAAATGAAAATAGGCTTAAAAGCAAACAAAAAACAACTGGGGAAAAAAAAAACATATGCAACAGATGTGATATATAAAGGGGTTTCTCAAATGTATGAAGAATTGTTTCTTATGTATTAATTAAAAATCTCTAGAGCTCAGCTGGGCATGGTGGCTCATGCCTGTAATCCCAGCACTTTGGGAGGCCAAGGTGGGCGGATCACTTGAGGCCTGGAGTTTGAGAACAGCCTGGCCAACGTGGCGAAACCCCATCTCTATTAAAAATACGGAAATTAGTTGGGCGTGGTCGTGCGTGCCTGTAATCTCAGATACTCGGGAGGCTGAGGCACAAGAGTCGCTTGAACCTGGGAGGTGGAGGTTGCAGTGAGCCGAGATTGCGCCACTGCACTCCAGCCTGGGCAACAGAGTGAAACCCTGTCTCAAAAAAAACAAAAAACAAACAAAGAAACAAACAAAAACAACTCTAGAGCTCAATAGCAAAAAGTGAGCTGATGCCATGAAAATAGGCAATTCATAAAAGGAAGTGCAATGTCCAAAAATCATATGCGAACATGAATGTAGCTAGTCATCAGGGTAAAAACAAAGATGATTCTTCGCGTACTGGATTGGCGGTGATTAAAAGAGTCACAGAAGGCAGACTGATGAAGAAGTAGAGAGTAAGTTGCTCTCCCTGCACTGTGGGTAGGAGTGCAAATCAGTGGAGCATTTCTGGAGAGGAGTTTGGCAATATGTAGGAATTTTTACAAGTTATATACCCTTTGGCCCAGTAATCCCCCTTTATGAATCTACCTGAGGGAGATAATTATCCAAAAGTGAAAATATGTGTGCCCGAGGATGCTTATTGCTGATTTGCTGTTAAAAATCCAGAACACTAAAAACAACCCTAAAATCATCACTAGGAGATGCTATTGCTCCCAATAATCAATACAATTTATTATAATGCTCTGTACTTTATTAGATGTCTGTAACATAATGCTGAGGGAAGTATGCAGTATACTTGCTGCTTCCAGGACCCCATGTGTAACATACGCCAGTTATAGAAAATTCAGAGAAGTCTAGAAGGATGTTTATCAAAATTTTGAGAGTGGTTTCCACTCAATAGAGGGTTTTAAGGAAATTAAAAAAGAAACTTTTCGATTTGTATTTTTCATTAACATTGGAATTTAAACAAATAAGTATGCATCATGTTTACAAAGACATTAAAGCTATTTCTAAAGAGAGAAAACATTAAAAATTATCTTCAAATTAATCCTTTATAATTTTATTTTTTAACCAAGTAAAGAGTATGATCTGGTACTCCTTTCGGAGGCTAATCTCTAGATTACCTCCAAGGGAAGTGTTTTTCACATGTGGTCTTGGGTTATCTCTATCAGAATCACCTATGATAATCACCTTTTTTAAATGTAGAGTTCCAGGCTCCCTTCCCTGCCACTACCCTACCCCAACCAAACCCAGTAAGTCAACATATCTGAGGGTGAAGCCCCAACATAGTTCCCAAGCACACCTGGTGACATGTATGCATATTTAAGCCTGTGAATCATTACTCAGGAGAAGAAAAAAGGAAGAGTTAGCAAGTTTACCAATGTCATTCATATTTACTTTTTTAGTCACGCTCCCTTGCTTTCTCTCTTTTTGGCTTTCCACCTGTTTTCCCACAATCTGCAGAAACTGAAATCAAAATGAACTAAGAGCTTTAACTATCAGGTGTTTTCAGGATTAAAACATTTAGGAAAACCCACAGAATGGCTGGTATTCATAGCAACCACCAATCCTTTTGTCTCAATTTCTCAACTTACCTTGTACTTGGATTTTTGATGAAGCCAGTGTTTACGAAATTAGGACACAGACATGTTGTTTTGACTCCAGTTATTTGTAAGGCAGCCAGTTCATCTGTCAAAGTTTTATGAAATCCAACAGCAGCAAACTTGCTTGAACTGAAAATAGAGAGTTTACAAAATAATTCAAGAATTCTGAAATGTCTGCCTGTTTTCCTCAGTTCAGCATGGTCCTCTGCAGAGCAATGTGGGCATTCCCTGAGTCTCAGGCCCCAGCCCAGAGCTACTGCATCAGAGCCCACATCTTACAAGATTCTCAGGTAAATCTGTAGGCACATTAAGGTCCAAGAAGCCCTGACATAGAAGATTTACTGCATCTTAGCATCACTTACGGAATAAGAACATTTCCTTAAAAAGCCTTTTAAAGAAAATTAGTAGAGTATTTGTTTTTGTTGTTGTTCCACAAAATTCAGTGTCACTATAAGCTGTTCCTTATTTACTTTAAGATGTCCATAGAATTTGCTGAAAACTTTTCCTGGATAAATCCTATTCTTCCTTTAAGTCACAGCTTCACTTCCTCAAAGAGGCCTTTCCTAACCCCCAGTCTAAATTATTTTCTCATTATATAGTAATTTTCAGTTTTCTATGATAGTATCTATCTCAGATTTGTAACTGAACATTCATTAGAGAAATTTTTTTTTTTTTTTTTTTTTTTTTTTTTTGAGACAGAGTCTTGCTCTGTCACCCAGGCTGGAGTGCGGTGGTGCGATCTCGGCTCACTGCAAGCTCCGCCTCCCGGGTTCCCGCCATTCTCCTGCCTCAGCCTCCGCAGTAGCTGGGACTACAGGCGCCCGCCACCATGCTCGGCTAATTTTTTGTATTTTTAGTAGAGACGGGTTTTCACCATGTTAGCCAGGATGGTCTCGATTTCCTGACCTCGTGATCTGCCCACCTCGGCCTCCCAAAGTGCTGGCATTACAGGCGTGAGCCACCACGCCCAGCTGAGATTAAATTTTTTAAAACATCTGTTTCCCACACCTTTCCTATAAGCTCCATGACTGTTTTGGTCACCAGTGAATCTCCAGGGCCCAGCACAGTGCTTGGCTCTTAGGTGCTCAATGAATATTTGTCAAATGAATGAATCACAATGCAAAGCGTTTATTTTAACAGCTCTTTCATTTGGAAGTAGTAGTGAAATTACTTATTCTAAATGGACATTACTTTCTCAGGTTTTTTTAATTTAAAAAGGGCTTTATTGAGATATAAATTCATATGTCACACAAAGCATTCACTTAATGTACACAATTAAATGGTTTTTGATATATAATTAACTTAAAAGTTGTGGTATAATATATATCATGTAAAACATGTCATTTTAACCATTTTTAAGTGTGCAATTCAGTGGCAATAATTATCAGATAATCTTTTATTCTGTTAAATCTGTATGAATTAGCAATTACACAAAGTAGCTATACATTCTGGCCAGTTAATCTATGCTTTGGAAGACAGAAAGCTGTGGAAATTTTTTAAAAAATTTTAAAAAAAATTTCTTACCTTTTTAAAAAAAGTTTAGGCACTTATTGAAGCTGATATGGTTTGGCTGTGTCCCCACCCAAATCTCATCAACAATTGTAATCCGAATTGTAATCCCCACATGTTGAGGGAGGGCACTGGTGGGAGGTGACTGGATCGTGGGGGCAGTTTTCCCCATGCTGTTCTCGTGATAGTGGGGGAGTTCTCACAAGATCTGATGGTTTTTTAGGTGTTTGGCAGTTCGTCTCTTGCTCTTACTCTCTCTCGCTGTCTCTCTCCTGCTGCCATTTAAGACATGCCTGCTTCCCCTTCCTCTGTAATTGTAAGTTTCCTGAGGCCTCCCCAGCCACGCAGAACTGTGAGTCAATTGAACCTCTTTCCTTTATAAATTGGCCAGTCTTGGGCAGTTATTTATAGCAGGGTGAGAGGGGACTAATACAGAAGGCTTAAAAGAAAGATTGTTAGATTAAATTATATGAGATTAAAAGCTTCTGTATACTGAAAAACAACATAAATAAAAATCAGATCTAAAATAGATTACTAAGTGCTAGACATTGCCCTCAGTTATTCTGATGCATTTTGGAGTTTTTTGGGGAGTCTTTATCTGTCACTTAGGCTGGAGTGCAGTGATGCAATCATAGCTCACTTCAACCTAGGAACTTCTGTGCTCAAGCAATCCTATCACCTCAGCCTCCCAAGTAGCTGGGACTACAGGCATGTGCCACAACACTTGAATAATTATTTTACTTTATTGTAGAGATGTGGGTCTCGCTACGTTGCATAGGCTGGTTTCAAACTCCTGGGGTTAAGTCATACTTTTGCCTCAGTCTCTCACGGCGCTGGGATTATAAGTGTGAGCCACAGTACCTGGCCTATTCTAAATAATTATTTTGTTTAATCTTCATAATACCCCTATAAAATATATTAAGATCCTCATTTACCAAAGAGGAAACTGAGGTAAAGATGGGTTATCAAACTTGCCTGAAGATACAAAACAAAGTGGCAGAATCAGGTTTTACGTGTGGGTAGTAAACCAGGTTTATATATGATATATTCTAAACTTTATTAACTCCAAGCAAATTAAGAGGCAAGTGACAAACTGGTAAAGCATTTGCAACATATAAGACAAGGATAAGGTTAATATATGGCAACTTTTATAAAGGAATAAGACAATACTCTAATAGATAAATGGCTAAAGGGCATTCATGGAAAAATCATAATATAAAAATGCCAGTAGATGTAGGCATATAAAAATGATTTACTTTAGGAATAATTCATATAAAAGCAAAGTAAAACAAGACGGAATTCTTGCCTAGCAGTAATTATAAGGACAGAAATTTTCATCTGAGTTTTTTTCAATGTACAGATATTTCACCTCATATAATTGAATCTAGCAATCTTTTCTTTTTAAGGCTTCATTCAATATATGTCAAACTTTCAAAAAAGTGACAAAAAACACTTTCTTTCCACAGCTTTCTATTTTCCAAAGCACAGGTTAACTGGTAGCCTTTTCTGGAAGGCAGTTTGGCAAAAGGTATCAAATTCATTAAAAGTATGCCACGCTCTCAGATCCGGTGTTTATCCCAAGGTAATAATCAATGATGTCTCCAAAGATTAATGTTCAAGGATAGTCCCTGGAGTGCAGTTCATTAAAGCAAATAGTTGGGAATAATGTGAAATGTCTGTAGTGGACAGCTGTTGTTTTTTCCCATCAGCATTTGTGTCCCCTTGTTCTGGTAATACCGCTGTCACCAAATGCATACAGTGATTGGCTCCAGGCTAGTCTAGTCACTGACCTCTAGAACAAGAACGTTTGAAGCCACTGTTGAAGTGATGTTTTTTTTCCCTTCCTGCTGGACTTGGAATTTAAAGGGTTTAACCCTGGAACTTCTGGTAGATATCTGGCCATCAGAGGAAGACAGCCTGCTTGAGACTTTAATCACAGAGCCAAAAAATTCCTCTTTGGGCCTGGGGCAGTTTAAGTTTTTTGTTCCTTGCAACTGAAAGAGTGACAAAATACCAATGATAATGAGTAAATTGAATAACTAGTGGCACGTATGTGCAGTGGTATCCCACGCAGAAATAGAAAACGATGTTGCACATAATATTTATTAACATATATTATTTTAAATTAAGAGCCAAAATTATATATTTTTTCAATGCATAACTATATGTTTGCATTTAAAATATCCTTAAAAATTATAACATGCATATCATGATTATTTTGTCAGAGGCATGTAAACCACAGCAACTCCATCTTAAATAGGAGCTGGGTAAAATAAGGCTGAAACCTACCGGGCTGTATTCCCAGA
The DNA here is from genome assembly GCF_000001405.40 of Homo sapiens. Classification (NCBI taxonomy): domain Eukaryota; kingdom Metazoa; phylum Chordata; class Mammalia; order Primates; family Hominidae; genus Homo; species Homo sapiens. Next base: position 87,361,103 of record NC_000004.12, read on the forward strand.
TGGTTAAGGCATTCTAAGTCATAAGATGACATAGGAGGTCAGTACAAAATAAATATAGGTCATAAAGACCTTGCTAATAAAACAGTTTGCAATAAAGGAGCCACCAAAACCAAACCCACCAAAACCAAAATGGCCACAAAAGTGACCTCTGGTCGTCCTCACTGCTACACTCCCACCAGCGCCATAACTGTTCACAAATGCCCTGGCAACGTCAGGAAGTTACCCTACATGGTCTAAAAAGAGGAAGCATGAATAATCCACCCCTTGTTTAGCATATTATCAAAAAATAATCATAAAAATGGGCAACCAGCACCCCTTGGGGCTGCTCTGTCTATGGAGTAGCCATTCTTTTATTCCTCTACTTTCTTAATAAACTTGCTTTCGGCCGGGCATGGTGGCTCATGCCTGTAATCCTGGCACTCTGGGAGGCCAAGGCGGGCGGATCACGAGGTCAGGAGATCGAGACCATCCTGGCTAACACAGTGAAACCCCGTCTCTACTAAAAATACAAAAAATTAGCTGGGCATGGTGGCGGGCACCTGTAGTCCCAGCTACTAGGGAGGCTGAGGCAGGAGAATGGCGTGAACCCGGGAGGCGGAGCTTGCAGTGAGCTGAGATCGCGCCGCTGCACTCCATCATGGGCAACAGAGCGAGACTCTGTCTCAAAAATAAATAAACTTTCTTTCACTTTGCACTGTGGACTCACCCTGAATTCTTTCTTTCATGAGATCCAAGAACCCTCTCTTGGGGTCTGGATCGGGACCCCTTTCTGGTAACATCTTTCTGGCAACCACGAAGGGACTAAAGTGCAGAAACCCTGACCCTATGGCTACCTTTGGGTAAGTGTTGGGGTCCTGTAACATATTTCTGGCAGACCATAGAGTTACAATACTGAAGAGACCCCTGACCCAAAGGAAAATCATCAGGGCACAACAGTGGGCTGACTTTGAGTAAGTGGGGTGCCTACACCTGGGTAAAGAATGGGATTGGGTTAGAGGCCCAACTTAGGGGAGTTAGAGTCTCTCCTAAGACAGAGTGGGTTACAGGTCCTTCTTAATAAAAGGCAAGGACACTTGACTGACGTCAAGTTAGAGGCCTGACTTAGGAGGATTAGAGTCCCTTCTAAGATTTAGGAGGTTAGGCCAGGTGCAGTGGCTCACGCCTGTAATCCCCAGCACTGTGGGAGGCCAAGGCGGGTGGATCACTTGAGGTCAGGAGTTCGAGACCAGCTTGGCCAACACGGTGAAACCCGGTCTCTACTAAAAATACAAAAATTAGCCAGACGTGGTGATGCATGCCTGTAATCCCAGCTACTCAGGACACTGAGGCAGGAGAATTGCTTGAACCCGGGAGGCCGAGGTTGCAGTGAGCCGAGATTGTGCTGCTGCACTCCAGCCTGGCCAACAGAGCGAGACTCCATCTCAAAAATAAAATATAATAAAATAATAAATAAAATGAATAAGATTTAGGGGGTTAGAGGACCCTCTCAGTAAAGTCCCTTTCAGCTAAGAACAGGTTTGGCACTATGGGATGTTAACTGCTGTTCTCTTTGGATTAATCTGCCTTTGTACTCTTTGCTGATGGCTATGGGTGACAGGGTTAGGCATGCACAGGATCGTGGGACATGGGGAGCTTTTTCCTGCCTAAAAGGGGAAACTTGAGAGCTGACAGGATTGCTGAAAAAGATCCCTGCTCAACCGACAGCAGCAGCCTGAAGTTTTCAGTGTTGCTGCAATAGGTGGGTCTTTCTCTGGCCTCCCTGATCATTTTGCCTTCCCCACCCTGCCACAGGCAATACTTTCCGTCTCTACTTTTCCTTTCCCTTTCTTATCTTTTCTATTTCTCAGGGCGACCTTCTTGCCCAGAGACCACATGTTGAAATTCCAAGTCAGAGGTTGGATTAAAGATGATGGGGCCCAACTGGGGGTAAATTTAAGCCTTGCCAGTTTGATATTGGGTGCTAAGCAGAGTAGCTAATGTCTATGTTTTATCATGCATATTTTGCTCTGGTCAAAATGAAAAAAAAAATTTTTTTCCTTTATGATGCAGCTTGGCCCCCGGGGAGATGGTGCCACAAGCCCGATCACTAGGGCTGCTCAGGGAAAAGGAACCCAGAAGCCTGGCATGCCAGCAAAAGGCTAAGAATTTGTTACCAGTCAGATTTTTAGCTTCTCTCTCTCTGTGCAAACAGTTGAATGAATGGAAAAAAAATCAGTGTTTATCACCTCTGTAAAGACTTAATTAATGCGAAAAAGAATTCTAAGGCTAGTCTTAAGCTGGTGTATTTTGTGCTATGAATTCGTTTTTCCGTGTAGAGGGGTACTTCAGGATAAAACATGGGCTTAGAACACCTGTAAGCCCGCTTTTCAAGACTACCCAGCAAGCTGGTCAGTAACAAACTTGGTTGCAGGTCCCTGAAACAAACAAAAAACCCGATGAAGTCTCCACCTTGTTTTATGTGCTTGGGAGCTTGACCTTTTAACCGCATGGCAGTACCTTCTCTTGGGCTCTGTCTTCCAGGGAACAAGAATTTTAAAGTTCATGTCATAGCCAGCTCTGAAAATCATATTAAATAGTTAAAAGCCTTTGCAAGCTCAAAATTAACTAATCTAGACTACTTCTGAGAAAAGAAATAGACACTGCCCAGACCTGTAGCTCAGTAGCTAAGGTTTTGCACTTTCACAGTGGCAGTCTAGGTTCAATTCCCCACCCAGGAAATAAGTCATTACTGATTTAATATATGTGTCTATTCTCTTCTCCTCCATGGACTGTCTTCAATTTTCCTTCTTCTAAGCACCTAGGAGTTTACCTTTGGTAAAGTTCAGAAGCTGGAAATATTGGCCGCTTGGCATGGCTAAAGTCGGGTAATAAGAGCTCTGAAAGGATTTCTTCTTTAAAGAGCACTATGGTGAAAAGTCAGCTTAATTAAAAGTGGAATAAGCTATAAATATATTTAAAAGGCCTTTATGTTTTTCTCTTCTTGAAGCTTGTTTTGCTGGAAAAAGGTTTTTTCTTCTCAGTCAAGTGAATTATTTTTGTTTTTTTGTTTTGTTTTGTTTTGTTTTGTCTTGTTACTATTAATGCTCACATGAAAGGCCCGTAGATAACTTCTGGTAGCTTGGGACTACTTGGGAAAAACAAAGGCAGCACCACAGATCCAGTTTTGGGAAAAAAAAAAAAAAAAGAAAAAAAACCCCTCTGTTTTCCTCATGAGACCCCAAGAATTAAAAGCAGATAGATTCCTCTCAAAATCAAAGGCTCTGTTCTGTTTTGCATTGTGTTATCTGACGGTTTTGAGTTTGGGGGAGGGGGGTTATCAGCAATTACTTTGCATTATGAGAGAGCTTTGGTGTGTAACAACTAGGTAGGAAATGTACTTTAAGGGGTGGCTAATAGTAGTTATGGAGGGATACTTGACTCTGCACACTTGGATCAGAGAAGCATGCTCTAGGCCACCTGGAAGATAAGGCAACATCCTCACCCCTCACTGGGAGATGAGACTCTCATGAGGATGGGCTGATTACAAAATGGGCTGATTGGCTTTAGGTTGCCTTGCAATGAAATGCACAGTCGGTAAAAGCACTGCATTGTCTTCTCCCGTAGTATTTCCCTCCTTTTGGGGATCCAGGATCCAGTATAAAATACCACCTTTAATTTTGGAGATCTGTCTGCCTTCAGCTGCTTATTTGCTACTTATTTAGCCCTAGAAATGCATGCTGTCCCAGCTCTGTTCCTCCAAGGGCTCCACTCTGAAACCTGTCATCCAATTAAGAAACTGGCAAATGGTGGGGCGAGGTGGCTCATGCCTGTAATCCCAGCACTTTGGGAGGCTGAGGTGGGCGGATCACTTGAGGTCAGGAGTTCAAGACCAGCCTGGCCAACATGGGGAAAACCCGTCTCTAGTAAAAATACAAAAATTAGCTGGGTGTGGTGGTGGGCGCCTGTAATCCCAGCTACGCGGGAGGCTGAGGCATGAGAATCACTTGAACCTGGGAGGCAGAGGTTGCAGTGAGCCAAGATCATGCCACTGCACTCCAGCCTGGGTGACAAGAGCGAAACTTTGTCTCAAAAAAAAAGAAACTGGCAAACGAAAAACTGTATAAGTGCTGAATCTTCTATTTATAGTGTATGTTTATATATTACAAAGCTCTAATCAATTGACTTAGAAAAGTAAGTGCGTAAATATTTTTTCAGAAAAATAGAAACTAATGCCTTTTTGTTCGTGTGACTTTAGTAATCTTTTGAAAATAAAGACAGTTTTAAAGTTTATTGGTAAAATAAAATGTCTTAAAAATGTAGACATTTGGTCTAAATTAAGGTCAGATATCAGATTTGCTAAATGCTTTAAGGACAAACTGTTTCTTTAACTTTTGAAAACTGTTCTATTTACCTACTTTAAAGCCATCAGATTCTAGATAAGGCCTCATGCCCCTGGCTATGCTGGAGAGTCAGCCCTTATCTGCACTTCTGCCTGGTGTGTCCTAGACTAGTCTCCACACCTAGTACATAATTAAAATCCCTTACTTAACCAACGTTTTCATCAAAAATAAAAGTTGCTAGAAGTTAGCATTGTAATGTGTAATTAAGACTACTGAAGAAACAGTTTTACATGCAAGGTGTATAAAAAAGGTGAAATGTGTTTTTGGTTAAAAAAAAAATTGTAAGAAGAAGCATGGGAATGCGGATTATTTTCTGCCTAGATTAAAGTGTTAAAGGATTGTGTTAAGTGAAAAAAAAAAAAAGATTTAAAGAAGTTGTGGAAGGTTTTTTTTAGATGGAGTTTTGTTCTTGTTGCCCAGGCTGGAGTGCAATGGCGTGATCTTGACTCACCGCAACCTCTGCTTCCCGGGTTCAAGCAATTCTTCTGTCTCAGCCTCCCAGGTAGCTGGGATTACAGGCATGTGCCACCATGCCTGGCTAATTTTGTATTTTTAGTAGAGACAGGGTTTCTCCATGTTGATCAGGCTGGTCTTGAACTTCCGACCTCAGGTGATCCACCCATCTTGGCCTCCCAAAGTGTTGGGATATACAGGTGTGAGCCACTGCACCTGGCCTTTGTGGAAGGTTTATAAAAATTAATTGTAAGAGATTCTGTGTATGAACATATTAGCTAAAGTTAAAGGGGTATTATTCAGTTTTTCCATAAATTAAACATTGGAATAAAAGCACAACAGGTTTCTCTTAGAGGACTTATCTGCGCTTTCACAAAAAAATGTAAAGGGTTATAAAGGTTTATAAAATCTTACCTTAGGATTAAACATTAAAATTGGGTAAATATGTCTCTAAGGTTTTATTAAAAATTGGGTTTAACATTAATAATACATTAATGTAAAGGTGAAATTTCGCTTATTTGGTATAAAAATCATCCAGGAAGCATTCTCAAATGTGAAACAGTGTTTTGCTTTCTTTGGACTATATTTGTATAAATATGTTATTGGTATATGTTCCAAAGTTATAAGAAACTCCTTTATTTCTAATATGACTTAGTGTATGTTACTAATAATTATAATTGTTATGTAAAATTTTGTATGCCACAAAAGTAACCAAATTTCCTTATCAATTGTGGCTTTAATAGTGGCTGTCCTAAAGTTTTTATCATCCACAGACAGTTGTTGTCTTGTTTTAATCTTCTTTAAAAGGTGGTTTATAATCAACTATAGAATTCTAGCAGATGTTCTTAAATGCAGGTTGCTAATAACTTTAGAAATTGTAACATTAAAATAAAGAAAACAACTTTCGAAACTCTCATAAAAAGCTGGAATGTTCATGAATAACAAGTAGAACAGGAGTTAACTGAATTAACTGAACCAATAGAAAACTGAAGTAATTTTTTTTAACTTTGCTTAAAATATTGCTGATCTTTTATTTTTCAAAGGAAACTTCTTTTAAGCTATTTACAGCTTGCAGCAATTAAGTAAAATATACTCCTATGAACAAAATTTGAAACATATTTGTTTCTCTCTACCTGATTTCTCCGGAATGGAAACCAATTGTAAGTATTCTTAACTTATGGCAATATAGTTGTTTGTATAAGTGCAACAAAAATCTGTTTTCTTTTGTAATGGGACACTATTGGAGAAATTGGTTATTTTACCAAGGCTTTGACTGGAATGGTGTGCTTTCCTTTAAAGAATCAAACTTGACTTGTAAAGCCAATAAAAGCCCTATGGGAAACTGGCCTCATACTTTGCCTACACAGTCCCTGTACAGGGTTTCTGACCTATGGTAAGTAAAGAATGTCACTTTCTTACAGGTCCAGGAGGCCCAAGTTAACTTGGGACCTCAAAAGAAAAGTGTTTTACCCAACTCATAGGTATTTAAGGGTACAAACCCATGGCAGGGCTTAGCTTTAAAAAAGTCTTACCTGAGATTCCTTATAAAACAGAGTTCCATCAAAGCCAATTAAAAAGCCTGTGTGAAAAATAATTATTCTCGCTGCACTTTATACAAATAATCAGACCAAGTATAATAAAGCAAATCAGTCTTACCATAATGTGTCTTTAATAAAAATGGGAAACTGGAGAGAGAATATTATATTTCAAGAACTATAGTATACTTGTTATTAAATTCTAGTCTCAGTTGTTTTTAAGTTTGTTTCTGCAATTTAGGCTAACCCTGTTTATTCCTGTAAACCAACCAGGGATCTCTAACTGCTGCTCAGAAGAAACAAGAGGGATGGGTAATGTAAAATTCTAGGCACATTGCAATCAGCTAGCAACCCCATATCAGCTTGGTCTCAACAGTTGCCCAGTTCATGGAAAGCCTTCTAATTTAGTTTACTTGGAATAACTTTACTTACTTTGCTTTACTCTTATGGAATATATTGCTGTTATACCCTTTGTGTGGGAACACAGGACAGGCTTACTAAATGTTTTCTTAAACTAAATACTTATTAATCTCCCAGATATCACCTCTTGTCAAAACTCAAGAGTCGGCTAGGCACGGTGGCTCATGCCTGTAATCCCAGCACTTTGGGGGGCCGAGGCGGGTGGATCACAAGGTCAGGAGATCAAGACCATCCTGGCTAACATGGTGAAATCCCGTCTCTACTAAAAATACAAAAAATTAGCCGGGTGTGGTGGCGGGCACCTGTAGTCCCAGCTACTCAGGAGGCTGAGGCAGGAGAATGGCATGAACCCGGGAGGCAGAGTTTGCAGCGAGCTGAGATCGCACCACTGCACTCCAGCCTGGGTGACAGAGCGAGACTCCATCTCAAAAAAACAAAAAACACACACACAAAAAACTCAAGAGTCATGAATGGCCCTCGCCACACTGATGCTTTCTGACTAAGCTCCTCTCTACCCTGAACACAAGAGACCCTAACAGTTAGGCAGGAATATCATGGCCCCATTCAGCCTGAAGAAGTTACAAAAGATGGATTTTCATCCGTCTGCAACTCTTAGGATTAAGAGTTCTCTTATAAAAGGGAAGGGGGAAATGTCAAGAGGCATGTGAAACAGAACAACTCCATCTTGAATAGGAGCTGGGTAAAATGAGGCTGAAACCTACCGGACTGCATTCCCAGACTGTTAACGCATTCTAAGTCACAGGATGAGATAGGAGGTCAGCACAAAATACAGGTCATAAAGACCTCGCTGATGATAAAACAGGTTACAGTAAAGGAGATGGCCAAAACCCATTAAAACCAAAATGGCCACGAGAGTGACCTCTGGTCGTCCTCACTGCTACACTCCCACCAGCGCATGACAGTTTACAAATGCCATGGCAATGGCAGGAAGTTACCCTACATGGTCTAAAAAGGGGAGGCATGAATAACAAACTGCTTGTTTAGCAGATCATCAAGAAATAACCATAAAAATGGGCAACCAGCAGCCCTTAGGGCTGCTCTGTCTATGGAGTAGCCATTCTTTTATTCCTTTACTTTCTTAATAAACTTGCTTTCACTTTGCACTGTGGACTCACCCTGAATTCTTTCTTGCACGAGATCCAAGAACCCTCTCTTGAGGTCTGGATCGGGACTCCTTTCCATTAACATTTCTGCATGGTGAAGCTATCCATAAATTTAGTTTTTTCTTTTACTAAACCTTATTTTCTGATTTTACTTAAGTGACCAAAAATGCAAGAATATATTGAAAGTCAGAGTTAATGATCTTGAGTGTGTAAAAGGAATAACATATTTTTCAACTTTATGGTGAACCTATATATAGAAAGGCATATATATATATGAAAGCTAAAAGTGAGTAGATTTTTGCCCCCTGCACTTTGTAACATTACATCAAATTCCTTCTTATTAGAAATAGTCTAAATTATTCAGATGTCTTGGAGGGCTGAAAAAAATAGTCTGAATTAGTACTTCTTATTCCAAATTCTTTTTTTTTTTTTCTTTTTGTGTTGAGGTCTGTCTTTGTTGCCCAGGCTGGAGTGCAGTGGTGAAATCATGGCTCACTGCTGCCTTCAATTCCTGGGCTCAAGCAATCCTCCCACCTCAGCCTCCTGCGTAGCTGGGACTACAAGCACGCACCACCACACTTAGCTAATTTAAAATATTTTTTGTAGAGATGAGATCTTGCTATGTTACCCAAGCTATTCTTGAACTCCTGAGCTCAAGTGATCCTCCTGCCTTGGCCTCCCAAAGCCTGGGGGATTACAGGTGTCAGCCACCATGCCTGGCCCCAGATTTTTCTTTTAAATAACATTTTGTTACAAGCTAATGTTCAGAACTCAGTTTTACTGAGCGTTCCCATACTGGCAACTTTTCATGCTTATAAATTGGCTATTTGGGTTGACAGAATATATTAGCTAGCTAATTGTTTTCTTTTAAAAATCAAAATACTTGTGAACAAATTACTTAGCAAGCAGCAAAAAACATTTTAGAATAGAATCAAAAGCTTCACCTTCCACCATAAATCCAGTTCTTTTATCTTGCATTCTTCATATTAATCATTAAAACTGTTGAACTAAAACTCTGAAAAGAAATTAAAATTTTTTTCCTAAGATAGGCTACTAGAGCTAGAATAAATTATTTTCTGTGGCTGTAGTAACTCAGGACAATGATAGATGAGGGCTGAATTACAGGGAAAAGGATCAATACTCTTATTTTTCCTCTCATTTCATCCCAAAAACTAGGCGTCAGAGCATATATGATGAATTCCACTGGGGCAAAGCATTCTGGAAGCTAAAATTAGAGGTGGGAACTCCCTGTTTTGTGTGAATAACAGGAAGTGGAATTGAAATGTAATGCCAACAGGCAACCTCCTGTTATTGAACACTTGCAGGATTTCAGATTTTATGCTAAGTGCAATACATTGTATGATTTAAATCTTATAGCATTCTAAATAAGTTAGATATTATTATTATTATTATTATTTTTTGAGACGAAGTCTCTCTCTGTTGCCAGGCTGGAGTGCAGTGGCACAATCTCAGCTCACTGCAACCTCTGCCTCCCAGGTTCAAGCGATTCCCCTGCCTCAGCCTCCCGACTAGCTGGGACTACAGGCACGTACCACACACCCAGCTAATTTTTTTTGTATTTTTTAGTAGAGACAGGGTTTCACCATGTTGGCCAGGATGGTCTCAATCTCTTGACCTCGTGATCCGCTTGCCTCGGCCTCCCAAAGTGCTGGGATTACAGGCGTGAGCCTCCACGCCTGGCCTAGATATTATTATTATTATTATTATTATTATTATTATTATTTTTTTTTTTTTTTGAGACGGAGTCTCGCTCTGTCGCCCAGGCTGGAGTGTAGTGGCGCGATCTCGGCTCACTGCAAGCTCCGCCTCCCGGGTTCACGCCATTCTCCTGCCTCAGCCTCCCGAGTAGCTGGGACTACAGGCGCCCGCTACCACGCCCGGCTAATTTTTTGTATTTTTAGTAGAGACGGGGTTTCACCGTGTTAGCCAGGATGGTCTCGATCTCCTGACCTCGTGATCCGCCCGCCTCGGCCTCCCAAAGTGCTGGGATTACAGGCGTGAGCCACCGCGCCCGGCCTATTATTATTAACCTATTTTACAGATGAGGGAAATGAAGCACAGAGTAGAGTAACTTGCCTAAGGTCACACAGCTGGTGAGTGATTCAGTCAAGATTCATAATGCCATTATAAATGACATTATGTCATTCGTAAATAATATTTTTACTGGAAACAACCCAAATGTTCATAAATAATAGAATGGACAAATAAATTGTTGTCTGGTCACATGATACAACACTATGCAGCCATGAAAATGATCACACTATAGCTACTAACCATAACACGGATAAATCTCACAAATATAGTGTGATTCCATGGACATAAAGATCAAAAATAGGCAAAATTAATCTAAGGTGTTATAAGTCAATATAGTGGTTACCTTTGGGAAGGAAGGAGAGACTGGTGATTGGGAAGGGTTCCAAGAGTGGGTTCTGGGGTCCTGTAATGTTCTATTTTTTTGACCTGCATGGTAGTTAAATGGATGTATCCACTTTGTAGTAACTCATTGAGCTGCACACTTACGACTTCTTCATTCTTATAAATGTATGTCACGTGTCAATAAAAAAGGTTTAAATGTTTAAAAAAGCAGTGTCTCAGTTTAATTGCCCAATTGTTAATAACAATATCTGATAAACACTGCTTTCTGCTGGCAGTAATCTTTAGCACATCTCTGTGAAAGTCCTATCATTGATCAGATGCTGAGCAAAAACCAGAGCTGGCTGAGTTGAAGATAACTGTGGCCAGTAAGGATCACAGACTGTAGTAGTTCAGGCCAGTGATAGCTGAGGATTCTGAAGAGGAGTTCTCTAAGGGCTAGCAAAGCACAGCTCTGTCACGAAGCTGGAAGTGTACAAACCCCTTGTGTGGTTGCAACCCTGCATGTTAGCCCAAATGGCACCCTTGTGTGGTTTCTTAAAAGCCACTTCTCGGCTGGGCGAGGTGGCTTACACCTGTAATCTCAGCACTTTGGTAGGCCGAGGCGGGCGGATCACGAGGTCAGGAGATCGAGACCATCCTGGCTAACACAGTGAAACCCCGTCTCTACTAAAAATACAAAAAAAGTAGCCAGGCGTGGTGGCAGGCACCTGTAGTCCCAGCTATTTGGGAGACTGAGGCAGGAGAATGGCGTGAACCCAGGAGGCGGAGCTTGCAGTGAGCCGAGATTGCGCCACTGCACTCCAGCCTGGGTGACTGAGCCAGACTCCGTCTCAAAAAAAAAAAAAAAAAAAAAAAATCACCCACCTATGCCTAATATTCTCTCTCTCTCACTCTGATTTAATTTCTGCAAAAATTTACCCATTTTTATTAATATTAAAAATTATAAATATTAAATTTGTTACAAATGTTAATAATTAATACTAATTATTGTTCTTGCTTTGTAATTTCTTGCTATTAAAAGAGATGAGAAATGTTTTAAAAGTGGTTGGCTCGTAACTGAATACATTTCCGGCTGCTACCTCTAGCAGGGTCCTCTAGAAGGGGATTAATGATTGATAATGCTGTTAGACAAGAGACTTTGTGCAACTCTTTCTGCTTATTTTTTGACAACTCTCAATAATAAACTGGAAAACTTCAAGTCTCTTATGATTATAAAGAGAGTTCTTATTAGACAGGGTAAGAAATCTCACACACAAGGTAGGCATAAGAACCAATGAAGGAAACACATGTTCACATACCAGTAAGCCAGTAAGAAGGGGACCGAGACATGTCCAGCTGCCGAAGCCACAGTGACAATATGGCCATGGTTATTCTTCGTCATTGCAGGAAGAAATGCCTTTGTAGTCTACAAATAGTTTTTATTAAAAGAGAAAAAATACTGTATTTCAGACTCACAGACCTATTGGGAATATTTTGAAACAAAAGTATATTTTTTAACATTAATCCTGTCATAAATGAAAAAAACAAACTAACTGACAAATGCAGCAACAATAAGGTGACTGGATATGATGCCCACATTAGAAAACCTGAGCAAAACAATGGCTACTGAAAGCTTTGAGAATCCATCTCATTTAAATTGCTAAATTCAGCCAGGTGTGGTGGCTCATGCCTGTAATCCCAGCACTTTGGGAGGCCAACTCGGGCAGATCACTTGAGGTCAGGAGTTCAAGACCAGCCTGGCCAACATGGTGAAACCCCGTCTCTACTAAAAATGCAAAAATTAGCTGGTCATGGTGGCAGGTACCTGTAATCCCAGCTACTGGGGAGGCTGAGGCAGGAGAATCACTTGAACCCGGGAGGCAGAGGTTGCAGTGAGCCAAGATCACGCCACTGTGCTCCAGCCTGGGTGACAGAGTGAGACTGTTTAAAAAAAAAAAATTGCTAAATTTTTATGTTCCCCAGCCCTCCACCTCTTGTTGTTGATGCTTGGGATGAAGAAACAAGTAAGATAATACCCGGCCAAGTGCAGTGGCTCACACCTGTAATCCCAGCACTTTGGGAGGCTGAGGCAGAAGGATCACTCGAACCCAGGAGCTCGAGATCAGCCTGTGCAACATGGCAAAACCTCATCTCCACAAAAAATACAAAAACTTGCTGGGCATGGTGGTGTACTCCTGTAGTCCCTGCTACTAGGGAGGCCAAGGTGGGAAGATCATTTGAGCCCAGGAACCTGAAGCTGCAGTGAGCCAAAATCACGTCACTGCACTCCAGCCTGGGCAACACAGAGACCCTGTCTCCAAACAACAACAAAAAAAGAGACAGTAACCTATATTTGAACAAACACAAAACATAAAGATATATGTCAATAACTTGGGAATATTAGCATAAAATAACACTGCATTTTTATAAACCCCAATATTCTTTTGAGATTAGTCATCCCAAACTCACATCCAAGAAAACTTTGAGGGGCCTTTTTAAGAACTGGCTATTTGGGCAATATTTGGAGACTTCAGAAACACACACGGCATATGTACATATATATAACTTAAGACCTTCAATGGTGAGGTTCACAATAAGGTTTGCAATTTTAGGGCCAGGAAATAACATGAGGCCTGAGCCTCATGCAAATTGAAAGCCAGGGCAGTGGCTCATGCCTGTAATCCCAGCACTTTGGGAGGCTGAGGCAGGCGGATCACTTGAGTCCAGGAGTTCAACACCAGCCTGGGCAACATGGTGAAACCCCATCTCTACTAAAAATACAAAAATTAGCTGGGCATGTTAATGCCTGTAGTCCCAGCTACTTGAGGGGGCTGAGGTGGGAGGATCACTTGAGCCTGGGAAGTTGGGGCTGCAGTGAGATGAGATTGCATCACTGCACTCCAGCCTTGGCAACAGAGTGAGACCCTGTCTAAAAAAGAAAAAAGAGAATCTGAAAGCAAACTGGATTCACCTTTATAAAATCACAGACGATGACTCGGATGGTCCCCAACTCCTTTCTTTATCTCTAAATAGGATCACACAGAAATGTGAGAACCTAGCTTAGAATTAAAACATATACAACACCTGACATTTATTATTAATTTATTATTGTTATTATTAATGTTGTCAGTGAGGAAGAATGATAGAATTTGGTCATAGCATGAAAAATGATCTCTTTGTATAATGTTATCCCTGGTGCCTGGAGAAAACTTTAGCATTGATTTAATACTTCCTTATGTCTGCTAAAAGCCCCACTTTAATCTTTGGGATTTTCAAAAGGAACATTTTTGTAAAAGAAGCCATACTCACCCAGAAATGTGCAAGTACATTAACTTCAAAAGTCTTTTCAATCTGAGGATCTTGTGTAGCAAACAAATCTGATGTATAGACTACACCAGCATTATTTACTAAAATACTAACATCTCCAATTTCTGCCTTCACCTTCAAAAAATAAAATAAGAAAAGTAAATTCATTAAGAGGTATGAGGGTAAGTTTATACACAATGGCTATTTTTTTTTTTTGAGACGGATTCTTGCTCTGTTGCCCAGGCTGCAGTACAGTGGCGAAATCTTGGCTCACTGCAACCTCCACCTCCCGGGTTCAAGAGATTCTCTGGCCTCAGCTTCCCAAGTAGCAGGGACTGAAGGCTCATGCAACCACGCCACACCTGGCTAATTTTTATATTTTTAGTAGAGATTGGATTTCACCATGTTAGCTAGGCTAGTCTTGAACTCCTGATCTCAAGTGATCTGCCCACCTCAGCCTCCCAAAGTGCTGGGATTACAGGCATGAGTCACTGTTCCCGTCTTGTACGCAATGACTCTTGTTTTTCTGCTAGATCTGGATAAAAGTGATTTTGCAATCCATGTGTCAACAGGGGAAAAAAATCCTTTTTATTTTATGCACTTATGTCCAAAATAGATCTATCTTCAAGTGTATCAGGTGGAAATTTTCTTTTGCAATTTAGTCTCTTGACTTAGTTCTATTGACTATAGATCAAGAGGCATTTGGCTAAGTAGCATTTTTTTTAAAACATTACTTCAAAGGGTAAGCAAAAAAAGTTAAATTAGGCTGGGTGCGGTGGCTCACGCCTGTAATCCCAGTATTTTGGGAGGCCGAGGCAGGTGGATCACCTGTGGTCCGGAGTTTGAGACCAGCATGACCAACATGGAGAAACCCTGTCTCTACTAAAAATACAAAATTAGCTGTACATGGTGGCGGGCGCCTATAATCCCAGCTACTCAGGAGGCTGAGGCAGGAGAATCGCTTGAACCCGAGAGGCGGAAGTTGCGGTGAGCTGAGATCGCGCCATCGCACTCCGGCCTGGGCAACAAAAGCAAAACTCCGTCTCAAAAAATAAAAGTAAAACTAATGTGGCAAAATCAGGGACTACTACAGAGAATTGTGGAAAACTGATTACACTATTAAGCTGGCCACATTTTCTATTTATTTCTGTTTATTTTCTGTTCTGTTGTTCAATCGCTCTCCATTAGGTGGCAGTAGGCTTAAGGGTGAAGAGTGGTTTCCTTGGACCTTGAGTTTGGGCTCTGCCAGTCACTGTTGGACCTTGACCAAGTTACTTAACCTCTTAAAACTTCAATTCTTCCTCTGCAAAATAGAGATACTAATACAAGTTCCTTGTGAGTCGTTGTGGAAACAAATGAAATAATGCATGTAAAGGAGCTAACACTGTATCTAGTACACACAGTAAACTGCTATTACTATCATTATAATTATTTCAAAACCATTTATACTTGTCTACAAGTAACATGTTTTAAGATTCTCTTCTTGACCTGCTCAGGTGTCTATGAGGGTACTTAATATACAAATATTGGCCAAATGAGGTGGCTCACGCCTCTAATCCCAGCATTTGGGAGGCCAAGGCAGGCAGATCACTTGAGGTCAGGAATCGGAGACCAGCCTGACCCACATGGTGAAACCCCATCTCTACTAAAAATACAAAAATTAGTGGGGCATGGTGGTGTACGCCTGTAATCCCAGCTACTCGAGAGGCTGAGGCAGGAGAATCGCTTGAACCCAGGAGGCGGAGGTTGCAGTGAGCTGAGATCGTGCCACTGTGCTGCAGCCTGGGTGACAGACGAGATTTCATCTCAAAAAAAAAAAAAAAAAAACCCAAAAAACAAACAAAAAACCCCCAAAATATAGAAATATGAGGTAAATAATATTAAAATACATATGTGTGTTTTTCTAATATATATGCATGGTATGTGTGTTTTCTCTTGAAAATTCTATTTTGGTATTGATCCAGAAGGAAGAACATTTGAGAAATAAAATGGTTATGTGGAAGGGCTTATGTAAACCCTTATGGCCAGATTTCAAAGGTTGTTGCAGCTATCATTGGTGAAATGATTTCAGTTGAGGAAATATAAACAAAAGAACAAGGCTAGCTGCTAAGAGCAATAGAAGGCATCCACTGGACTGTAAAGACTATTTGTAGGCTGGGCACGGTGGCTCACATCTATATTCCCAGCACTTTGGGAGGCCAAGGTGGGTGGATCACTTGAGGCCAGGAGTTCAAGACCAGCCTGATTGACATGGTGAAACTGCATCTCTATTGAAAACACAAAAATTAGGTGAGTGTGGTGGTGGGTTCCTGTAGTCCCAGCTACTCGGAAGGTTGAACTGGGAGGATTGCTTGCACCTGGGAGGTGGAGGTTGCAGTGAGCTGAGATTGCACCATTGCACGCCCGCCTGGGTGACAGAGCAAGACTCTGTCTCAAAAAGAAAGAAAAATATTTTTAAAAAAAGACTATTTGTAGGCCGGGCACAGTGGCTCACACCTGTAATCCCAGCACTTTGGGAGGCTGAGGCAGGTGGATCATGAGGTCAGGAGTTCAAGACCAGCCTGACCAACATGGTGAAACCCAGTCTCTACTAAAAGTACAAAAATTAGCTAGGCGTGGTGACGTGCACCTGTAATCCCAGCTGCTCAGGAGGCTGAGGCAGGAGAATCGCCTGAACCCGGGAGGCGGAGGTTGCAGTGAGCTGAGATTGCGCCACTGTGCTCTAGCCTGAGCGACAGAGCGAGACTCTGTCTCAAAAAAAAAAAAGACTATACTCAAAAGGGGACCATTACAGGTAATGTAACTTTTTTTCAAAATAATTGTTATATCTTCTGGACTAGAATATAATCAATAACTATCTCTTCAACTAAGAAAGATCATAGAATCTTGATGCTTAAGCCCTACTTTTTATAAGATTGGAGTACCATAATTCCAAGGGGTAGCAATGCAAAAATACCTTATATGAGATTTTTATGGTTCCATAAGCAACTAAGATGCTTGGGCGGATAGACCCTAGCGTCCTAATGCATTTTGTTATACACTGTGTTTCAAATGAAACCTAGCTCTATTAACAGAGTTATCATTATTTAGAGATAGTGCTACAGTGTGTTGGGGGACTGAGGGAAAAGTGGCAAATAGCCTATGAGGGGCTTTTACTTTGTTATGCATTTACATGATTTCATTATTTTTCTTATTGAATTCTCACAGTAACTCAATGAGACAGCAATTCTTATATGCTCACTTTAAAGATGAAAACATGAAACAGAATGGTTGAGTTTCATACCCAAGGTCACATGGCTATTAAAAGATGGAGCTGGGACTCTCCCAGATCTGTCTGACGTCAGAGCCCAAGACAAGCCACCCCAAACAGAAAGGAGGCCATGGGCAAAAGTCTACCAGTACTCCTGTAGGGCATCAATCTGCCATGCTGAAGGCTCTTCAGTCAGAATTGAATTTCATCAGATTATATTTACGTTAGTAAAGTGTCAAGCTAAGTTTTTTGACCCTGATCAACACCATTTATACCTATATACTATTTTATATTACCAAAGGATTTTCCCAGACACTCTTGACCCTTTCTTCATCATTGCCTATTACCTCCCCAGGATATGAATGTCTGTTTTGTATTTTTTTGTATTAATTTTGTTTTTAAATTTTTGTGGGTACATAGTAGTGTATATATTCAAGGTTACATGAGACATTTTGATACAGGCATGCAGTGCATAATTATCACATCAGGGTAAATCAGGTATCCATCCCCTCAAGCATTTACCCTTTGTGTTACAAACAATCCAATTATACTTTTAGTTATTTTAAAATGTACAATTAAATTACTATTATTAATCATTTTTACTAACAAAAAATTCTTTATGGCTGCTCCTTGCAGAGCAGGGCTAACTCACAGGCAGTGCAACCAGAGTAGCCTATTTGTTCTAATTTTTGGTACCCATTAACCATCCCTACTTCTTCCCTACACCACCTCTACCCTTCCCAGCCTCTGGTAACCATCCTTCTACTCTCTATCTCCAAGAGTTCGATTATTTTAATTTTTAGCTCTCTCAAATAAGAGAGAATATGTTTTGCGTGTATATATATATGATTTTATATATATATATAAATATAAAATATATATATAAATATATATATATAAATATATATATAAATATATATAAATATATATATATAAATATATATATATAAATATATATAAATATATATATATAAATATATATAAATATATATATATATATATTTATATATATATATTTTTTTTTTTTTTTGAGATGGTGTCTTGCTCTGTTGTCCAGGCTGGGGTGCAGTGGCATGATCTCAGCTCACTACAACCTCCGCCTCCCAGGTTCAAGTGATTCTCTCACCTCAACCTCCCAAGTAGCTGGGATTACAGGCACCTGCCATCATGCCCAGCTAATTTTTGCATTTTTATAGAGACAGGGTTTCATCATATTGGCCAGGCTGGTCTTGAACTCCTGACTTCAGGTGACCATGTTGCCCAGGCTGATCTCGAACTCCTGAGCTCAGGGGATCCACCCACCTCGGCCTCCCAAAGTGCTGGGATTCTAGGCATAAGCCACGCTCCAGCAGATATATTTCTATAAAGCATTATTTGCCTCTTCTAGATACAATTGAGATGTGCTGTATATAATGGGGTTTCACTCTGAACGCATTCTTGCTTGTACCTAACTAACTACCTTAATGTCAACAAGGTCATCAGAATTACTTGGGCAGATTCCTGGATATATATATAATATTTATATTGTTATATTTATATTATATAATATATATTATATATACATATATAATATGTACATATATACATATACAGCATTATATACATATACATCTACATATACATCTCATATATACATACACAGCATTATATACAGCACAACTCATATATACATATATGTATTATATTACACATATTATATGTATATGTATGTATATTATATATTAATAGTATAATATAGTATTAGTATACTATACTATTATATTAGTATATAATAATAGTATATACTATTATTAGTATACTATAGTATAATATAGTATAACAGTATAATATAGTAATAGTATATTATAGTATAATATACTATAGTATTATAGTATTAATAGTATATGTATTATACTATTATATATGTATATGTATATGTATTATACTATTAATTATTATTATACAGCACATCTCATATATACATATTATATTATATATTTATATATACTATATAAGTATATAATATTTATCAGCCTGTATATATATATTACAGGTATCTGCCTGTAATCCCAGCTACTCGAGAGGCTGAGGCAGGAAGATTGCTTGAACCCAGGAGGCGGAGGTTGCAGTGAGCCAAGATCACGCCACTACACTCCAGCCTGGGTAACAGAGCAAGACTCTGTCTCAAAAAAAAAAAACGTTCTGATACTAAAATGATACTAAAATGGCCACCTCAAAACAGCTACTTCAAAATATCTGATTCTCAGCTTGCTTTCATTATTAAGAAATATACAAATCCCAGCACTTTGGGAGGCCAAGGCAGGCGGATCGCGAGGTCAGGAGATCGAGACCATCCTGGCTAACATGGTGAAAGCCCGTCTCTACTAAAAATACAAAAATTAGCCATGCGTGGTGGCGGGCATCTGTAATCCCAGCTACTCGAGAGGCTGAGGCAGGAGAACTGCTTGAACCCAGGAGGCGGAGGTTGCAGTAAGCCAAGATCACACCACTACACTGCAGCCTGGGCAACAGAGCAAGACTGTCTCAAAAAAAAAAAAAAAAAAGAAAAAAGAAAAGAAAAGAGAAAAAGAAAAAAAGTTCTGATACTAAAATGGCCACCTCAAAATAGCTACTTCAAAATATCTGATAATGGGCTAGGCGCGGTGGCTCACGCCTGTAATCCCAGCACTTTTGGAGGCCGAGGGAGCAGATCACGAGGTCAGGAGATACAGACCATCCTGGCTAACACGGTGAAATCCCGTCTCTACTAAAAATACAAAAAAATTAGCCAAGCGTGGTGACGGGCGCCTGTAATCCCAGCTACTCCGGAGGCTGAGGCAGGAGAATGGGGTGAACCCGGGAGGCGGAGCTTGCAGTGAGCCGAGATCGCACCACTGCACTCCAGCCTGGGCGACAAAGCTAGAGCTAGACTCTATCTCAAAAAAAAAAAAAAAAAAAAAAAAAAAAGAACTCAGGCCAGGTGTGGTGGCTCACGCGTGTAATCCCAGCACTTTGGGAGGCCAAGGAGGGTGGATCACTTGAGGTCAGGAGTTCCAGACCAGACCACCCTGGCCAACATAGTGAAACCCCATCTCTACAAAAACACAAAAATTAGCCCGGCATGATGGTGCGTGCCTGTAATCACAGCTACTAGGGAGGCTGAGGCAGGAGAATCGCTTGTGAACCCGGGAGGTGGAGCTTGCAGTGAGCTGAGATCACGCCACTGCACTCCAGCCTGGGCGACAGAGTGAGACTCCATTTCAAAAAAAAAAAAAAAAAAAAAGAACTCAAACCAAAAATTCCATAAACAAAGAGGTTCTCAAGTCTTGCTGAATCACACTTTTTATACTGCACTGAATTAGAATATCCAGGGGTAAGGTCCAGGAATGTGTATTTTAAGGAATCTGCCCAGGTAATTCTGATGACCTTGCTGCCATTAAGGTATTTAGTTAACAGGTACAAGCGAGAATGCGTTCAGAGTGAAACCCCATTATATACAGCACATCTCAATTGTATCTAGAAGAGGCAAATAATGCTTTATAGAAATAGATCTGCTGGGAGCGTGGCTCATGCCTATAATCCCAGGACTTTGGGAGGCTGAGGTGGGTGGATCCCCTGAGCTCAGGAGTTCGAGATCAGCCTGGGCAACATGGTGAGACCCCGTTTTCTACCAAAAATACAAAAAATTAGCTGGCGTGGTGGCACACACCTGTGGTCCCAGCTACTTGGGAGGCTGAGGTGGGAGGATTGCTTGATTCTGGGAGGTGGAGGTTGCAATGAATCGAGATCATGCCACTGCACTCCAACCTGGGTAACAGAGTGAGACCCCCCATCTCAAAAAAAAAAAAAAAAGAGAAAAGAAAAGAAATAGATCTATCTACAATAAAAACCTGATAAAGAATAGCTTTATTGTAACTTTCTAACCCAATTCTATGAATGGGCTTCAGAAGACCCTGTCAGCAATTCTGCAAGTGTCATCCAGGCATAGTTACCTATATGAGCATCATGGGTGAGATGAAGGCGCATGGGAGGCAGGGTGGATGTATTTGAGGCCCTGCCTTCAACCTACTGAAAGAAAATCTCTGGAAGTGGAGCCCAAGAGTATATATATACATTTTTAACAACTCCCTGGAAAATTCCAGAACATACTAATATTTGAGAGGTTCAGTTCTCGGTTCTAGTTTTGGGTTTGCTATGAGCTAGTTCTATAACCTTGGTCAAATAACAACATTTCTCAGGTACTTCATCTATATCATGTACAGACTGGGTCATCTCCAAAACACCTCCTAGCTCTAACATGATATGATTCTAACTAAACACAACATTTCACCTTCTTTGCAGAGCTGTAAATATCTTCTCGGTTGCTGCAGTCTACCACAAAGGTATGAACCTTGGCACCCAGTCCCTTGCATTTGGCAGCTGTTTCCTCCAGTCCATGCTAGAAAAAGCAAAAAAGAGGGCAAGGTAATAATTGATATGAACATATTATATCGACAGCTGAAAATAATTAAAAATAATTTTTAAAAAGTAGTGAGATTCTTTCCATTTGAATTGGGCAAGATTGTTAACAACACATTTTTGGCAGGTATATAGGCACATTTTGCTTTTAGTATTTTGACTAGCTTCTTTTATTTGGAGCTGAATTTAAAGCAAGCTTCTTAAAAGAAGATAAAAATCTTAAAATACTAGTTTTTATATTTATGAACTTTGAATACTTTGTGAATGTTGGTATCTCTGTGTATTCCATATCAGGCTTTAAAAAATGTAACATTAAACTTTTTTCCATGTCATTAAAAACTATTCATGGATGTCAGTTTACTGTCTGCAAAAGAAATAATGAGTTAACCACAGTTCATTAAACCATTTGTTCTTTCAGCATTTTAATGTGAAGGTCATATTCACTGAGCTTAGAAAAACCTTGACACAAATATGAATGAGGTAGAGTCCCGACCCCAAGAAGTTCTCTGTGTAGTAGAAAGAAACATAAGTATCATAGTTAAGTAGGACCACGTAATACTGTTATTGTTTTGATAATAAAAGATTGAATATTGGCAGTTTCAACCTAATACATTGTGATGAGTATCACAGCAGAGTTCTATACAGGGAGTTACGGGAACACAGAGGGGCACACAATACAATTCCAGCAGTGGTTTGCCATGCCCTTTCACTTGCTTTCCCCAGGGTGAAAGGACACATCAGGCAGGGTGTGGGCAATGACAGATAGGAGATTGGTCTTGTGGAAACCACTAGTAGGATTAGTGTTGTTGGATGGATCATAAAGGTCAAGGCCAGAAGAAGTTCAGATTAAGGTCCCACATGTCATATTAAGATTTATCAAAAAATGAATGAGGAGCCACTGATTAAATTATAGTGTCAGGTTTATGTGTCGTATTGATTATTTTGGCTGATGTATGGAGGGTGGATTTTAGGGGTCAACACTGGAGGAAGAAAAAAACTGAGAGGCAGTTACAGTGATTCAGGTAATAGATGACACAAACTTGAAATGTGGCATTAGTAGAAAAAATGTAGAGGAAAGAATATCCTTTAAAATATATGTTTAGAAGGTAAAATCAGTAAGACTTGGTGAGTAGATGAGGAAGGATGGGAAGGAGCCACATCTGACATCTTTGCTTTCTAGTTTTGGTAGCTGGCAAGATCACGCTGCCACATGTCAGACAGAGATGACAGCAGATTTGAGGAAAAGGGGTTATGAGTCCAATTTGGGGCGCCAATTTTGAGTCAACTTAAGTTTAGGATCATACCATTGGGGTTTTTTGTTGTTGTTGTTATCTTTGCTTGTTTGCTTTTGGCCAATTTTTGCCTTTTTTTTTTTTTAACTTTTAAGAGAATGTCTCAAAAGATATTTTGGATGAAGATCTAGTATTGTGCATTCTGCAGGCCAAGTATTAGGTTGTTGGAAAAGTAATTGCTGTTTTTGCCATTAGTTTAATGACAAAAACTGCAATTACTTTTGCATCAACCTAATAATTGTCAACTAATGCACTAATGGGCAGACCCTAGGAGGACTCATACATTTATCCACAGAGAGGATGGTGAATCAGTGTACACATTTGTAAATGGCAACTAATGTTGGAAAGGCCAAATCTGGACAGCTGTGGGGAGAATTAGTAGCTTGCATAGTGAAACTGTTATGATAATAAAGGGAAACAAGTTCTTTTTCTCCTGTGGGAAGTCAGGGACCCCGAATGGAGGGACCGGCTGGAGCCGCGGCAAAGAACATAAATTGTGAAGATTTCATTTTAATATGGACATTTATCAGTGCCCAAATAATACTTTTATAATTTCTTATGCCTGTAATCTCTTAATCCTGTTATCTTCATAAGCTGAGGATGTACGTCACCTCAGGACCACTGTGATAATTGTGTTAACTGTACAAATTGATTGTAAAACATGTGTGTTTGAACAATATGAAATCAGTGCACCTTGAAAAAGAACAGAATAACAGTGATTTTTAGGGAACAAGGGAAGACAACCATAAGGTCTGACTGCCTGTGGGGTCGGGCAAAAAAGAGCCATATTTTTCTTCTTGCAGACAGCCTATAAACGGATGTGCAAGTAGGAGAGATATTGCTAAATTCTTTTCCTAGCAAGGAATATTAACATTAATACCTTGGGAAAGGAATGCATTCCTACGGGGAGGTCTATAAATGGCTGCTCTGGGAATGTCCGTCCTATGTGGTTGAGGTAAGGACTGAGATACGCCCTGGTCTCCTGCAGTACTATCAGGCTTATTAGGGTGGGGAAAAACTTTGCCCTGGTAAATCTGTGGTCAGACCGGTTCTCTGCTCTCGAACCCTGTTTTCTGTTGTTTAAGATGTTTATCAAGACAATATGTGCACCACTGAACATAGACCCTTATCAGTAGTTCTGCTTTTTGCCCTTTGAAGCATGTGATCTTTGTACCTACTCCCTGTTCTTACACCCCCACCCCTTTTGAAACTCTTAATAAAAACTTGCTGGTTTTGAGGCTCAGGGGCATCATGATACGTGATGTCACCCCCAGCGGCCCAGTTGTAAAATTTCTCTTTATACTGTCTCTCTTTATTTCTCAGCCGGCTGACACTTATGGAAAATAGAAAGAAGCTACATTGAAATATTGGGGGCAGGTTCCCACAATATTTTTCTTTTACTGAAATCTCCCTCACAAACTGTAGTATACTCTCATGAGGAACTCTTATTCCTCAAGGGACATCAACATCTCAGGTAAACTTTATTTTGCTCTCCTATACTTAACCAGCAGCTTTTGGCATTTCCTTTTACAAGTATATTAATGTTGTATACACATAGGATAGAATATTATTCAGCCTTAAAAAGAAATGAATTTCTGACACATGCTACACGTACAACCTTCATTATGCCAAATGAAATAAGCCAGACACAAAAAACAAATACCATATGAATGTACTTATATGCAGTACCCAGAGTATCATATTCATAGAGACAGAAAATAGAATGGTTGTTGCCAGGACCTGGGGAGAGAGAGGGCTGGGGAGATATATTGTTTTAATGGGTACAGATTTTCATCTTGGGAAGATGAAAAATTTCTGGAGAGAAATAGAAGAGATCACTGCATAATAAGGTAAATGTACTTAATGCCACTAAACTGTACACTCAGAAATGGTTAAAATGGTGTGTTATGTCATATATTTTACCATATTTTAAAAAGTTTTTTAAAAGTATATTGTATTGGCCAGGTGCGGTGGCTTACACCTGTAATCCCAGCACTTTGGGAGGCTGAGGTGGGCAGATCACAAGGTCAGGATTCTGGGAATAGCCTGGCCAATATAGTGAAACCCTGCCTCTACTAAAAATATAAAAAATTAGCTGGGTGTGGTGGTGGGCACCTGTAATCCTAGCTACTTGGGAGGCTGAGGCAGGAGAATCACTTGAATCCGGGAGGCAGAGGTTGCAGCAAGCCAAGATTTTGCCACCGCACACCAGTCCGGGCAACAGTGCGAGACTCTATCTCAAAAAAAAAAAAAAAAGTATATTGTATTGATTGGGTCTTCTCTTTTTTGAACAAATATATTTCCTTACATGAACAAATTTTACAATAAAAATTTATGTCCCATTTATTCTGTTTTCAGAGATTTGCTTATTACTGGTTGGCTTTCTGTAACCACCAAGCAACTAACCACCACTCCACTATATGGATGCAAAGATACCCTTCTTTCACATCCGCTGTCTCACTTTTGCCCTGTTTCCTTGGTCTTCCTCATTTAGGTTGGTCTGCTTTCCACACCTTCTGAATTGTGAAACTTTTTTTTTTTTTTCTGAGATGGAGTCTCGCTCTGTCACCCAGCCTGGAGTGCAATGGTGCAATCTTAGCTCACTGTAGCCTCTGCCTTCCCGGTTCAAGTGATTCTCCTGCCTCAGCCTCCCTAGTAGCTGGGATTACAGGCATGCGCCACCACACCCGTCTAATTTTTATATTTTTAGGAGAAACGGGGTTTCACCATGTTGCCCAGGCTGGCCTTGAACCCCTGGCCTCAAGTGATCCTCCCATCTCGGCCTCCCAAAGTGCTGGGATTACAGGGGTGAGCCACTGCACCCGGCCGGTGCAACAAATTTAAGTTCTAAATTCCTCCAGAAAAAATTCCGGACAGTGCCCTGTAGATAGTTGGTAAGAAATAAAAAATAAGCAGATCTTCAAAAAAAAAATGAATTCTTCCTTTAAAATGTTTTGCAGCACAGTACAATTGCTCATAACTCTTCAAGATTTCCCTTGGTAACTTTTTTCAAATATGTTTGTCTATTGGTACAACTAAGACCTTTACACCCATTACCTTGATTACTAAAAATTGAAAAACTTTTTAAATTATGCCCATTATTCTTTCAGTTATTCATTAATTCAGTTTTTCATTCAACAAATAGTCTTTGAGCATATATTATATGCTCACCACTTACTGTAAATTTTTCTTTCCAAACTAGTATTTTAGGAAAAAGGGTCTCCCTGTTGCGCAGGTTGAGTGCAGTGGCTATTCACAGGCATGATCCCACTACTGAACAGCACCAGAGCTCTGACCTGTTCCGTTTCCAACCTGGCTGGTTCACCCCTCCTTAGACAACTTGGTCTCCTTCATGCCCACCGCCAGAAGGTACCATATTGATTCTGAACTTATGCAGACATGCAGAGCGCACCACAGTCCAGAACTCCCGGCCTCAAGCAATCTTGCTGCTTCAGCCTCCTGAGTAGCTGGGGCTACTGAAGCATGCCACCATGCCTGGCTACAAACTATTCTAACCAAGCATGGGAATGAGAATAGTCAAGAAGTGATAGATTATCACAAAGCAGAATGAATAATTCCCATTATCAGGCTTAGTGGAACAACAAAGCTGACACCACCATTAATTCTTCCCTAAATTAACATATGGTACATGTGGACACTGCTGTCCTCATTACATGGATGAATCTAAGAGATTGTCTTTGTACTCTAGGTGAAAGGGCCCTCCGTTTGGCCCCTCCCTGCCCTGCCAGCTAGATCTCATAACAATCAAACACCACTCCACTTTCTTCCTCATTCTCCAGGTATTCACCAGCCCAAGAGCTTCACATCTCCAGTTTCTGCTACCTGGACTGCTCCAAATCCCCACCCTGTCCTTTCCCAATCAGGTTTAGTGGTTCTCAGCCTTCTATAATTTCAAATCTATAAAACGGCAAGAAAAATAGAGTGGGATGTGTATACCGAACTAGGATTGCCAAACTTTTGGCCAAATAAGGACACTCAAAACTAACAAAATGACCCTCATATGTTATCATGTAATTTCATTAACAAATATATTTTTTACCCACAAAAAGTAGGAAGGATATAATCTCAAAATAAAATATAGATTATTTAAATTAAACTAATTTAACCTAATAAAAACTCACTACATTGTCCTCAATTTTTCTGACCATTACTCCGAATCTCTGCTACTGCCAACCCGGTTCAATAGTCCCCATCATTTCATCTCATGCCTGGATTATCACAGTAGTCTCTTACTTTACTTGTTCCTTCCATCTTTTCTCCTCTTACATCTCTCCTAAGCCCAGCAGCTGGAGGATCCTCTTCAATAGGAATTACCCTCAAAACCCTTCATTGACTCCCCAGAGTAAAAAGCCAAAATACAGGAAATTTTATCATCTGTAGCTCCAGCCCTTTAAATCTCTACACCGGTACTGTCTCATAGAAATATAACGCAAGCCATGTATATAATTTTAATCTTTCTAGTAGTCACACCAAAAAAAAAAAAAACAATCTAGTGGCATATTTTATTTAACCCAACATATCTAAGTAATTATCATTTCAACATGTATACTATATAAAAATTATTAACACAAAATTCTACATTCTTTTCTTCATACTAAGTCTGCAAAATCCAGCATGTATTTCCACTCACAGTGCATCTCAAATCAGACTGGCCACATTTTGAAAGGCTCAAGAGCCACAAGAGGCTAGGGGCTACTACCTACCACTGTGTTGCACAGAGTAGATCTAGACCTTTCTTGTGCTTCTCTCCCTTCCCTCAGTCTATGCCAGGCTTTGCATTTGCTGATCCCTCCCTGCAGGACTCACTGTGCTCTCAGCTTCTTCTGATATTGATTCAATTATCTCCATCTCAGTGGGGCCTTCCTGGCCACCACTGTAAAGTCAACACTCCCCTCCTACCCTCCCCACCATATAGAGTCTTTTATCTACTTTCACCTTTTATTTTTTTCTTTATGCTTAACACCATCTAACAATTATACATTTTATTATACAGTGTGGCATACTGCCCCTAGCTCATGAGGCTCATGTCTTCCTCAGTGCTATATCCTCAGTTCTGCATTAGAACAGTGCCTAACAGATAATAGGTGCTCAATAAATATTTGTTGGATAAATGCATGTCACTGAAGATCAGAGAAAATTTTGTACAAACCAGCACTGGACATTGGAAGTCATTAACCTAACTAACTCTTACATACATTTAAATTTTAGCTTAAACCACACTTTGTCAAGGAATAATAAGAACACTGCAGTGTGTTTACCTTATACCACACTGTGCTAAATGCTTTGTATGCATTATCTCATATCATACTGACAGCTTTTTGAGGTATGTATTGTTATTTTATCCATTTTGCAGAAAAGGAACTAAAGCTGTGGAAACGTTGAGTAAGTTACCCAATCAGAAAACGAAAGCTCAGATGTGTCTGACTATATCACCATGCCAGACCTTGACCATGCTGGTCCAGGCTGGACCTGGGTTGTATTTTTCATTGCTCTTGTAATTACTTTTTTATTTATTAATTTAATTTAATTAATTTATTTATTTTTAAGACAGAGTTTTGCTCTTGTTGCCCAAGCTGGAATGCAATGGCATGATCTCGGCTCACTGCAACCTCTGCCTCCCAGGTTCAAGCAGTTCTCCTGCCTCAGCCTCATGAGTAGCTGGGATTACAAGTACACGCCACCACGCTCAACTAATTTTTTGTATTTTTGGTAGAAATGGGGTTTCACCATGTTAGCCAGGCTGGTCTTGAACTCCTGACCTCAGGTCATCTGCCCGCCTCGGCCTCCAAAAGTGCTGGGATTACAAGTGTGAGCCACCGCATCCAGCCTGCACTTGTAATTACTTAATGTCCATTTTCCCTACTAGACTGAGGTCATGGAACCTTATTTTCTGTTTGTCACCCTATCCCTAATGTCTAAGCAGCAGACAGTCATTATTTGTTGATTGCTGTCTTCATCAGCCACTCACTGGGTTAACCCTCATTTAACTTCACATCCTTTGAATTATTGTTTACAGCATTGCATGTCAACTAGTGTGTAATGGATAATGTTTCAGGCCATCAGGTATCTTCTAGAAACCCCTTTGTTCATCTACCAAAGGTCAAATAAAAGGTTGGATTCTAGGTCCTCTTCTCCTCCCTAAGCCACACCTACACTTGTCCTAGGTAAAAAATTACACTGAAAGTTTTTTTCCCTTTTATTGTTTTTACTAAAAGATGCTTTCCCGCCACTCCTTCAGTATCACAGGTCAAACGTGGTAAAAAATGTTTTTTAAAAAAATTTGAGACAGGGTCTCACTCTGTCACCCAGGCTGGAGTGCAGTGGGGCGTTTACAGCTCACTGCAGTCTCCACCTCCCAGGCTCAAGCAACCCCCCACCTCAGCCTCCCGGAAAAGATGCTTTTTAAAATTACTCTTGGCAATAACTATGGCAATGTAGCATTGGTTTCTGTTGAGTATAATCTTTTTGTTTGTTTTTTGAGACGGAGTCTAGCTCTGTCGCCCAGGCTGAAGTGCAGTGGCGCCATCTTGGCTCACTGCAACCTCCGCCCCGCGGGGTTCCCGCCATTCTCCTGCCTCAGCCTCCCCAATAGCTGGGACTACAGACGCCCGCCACCACGCCCGGCTAATTTTTTTTTGGTATTTTTAGTAGAGACGGGGTTTCAGTGTGTTAGGATGGTCTCGATCTCCTGACCTCGCGATCCGCCTGCCTTGGACTCCCAAAGTGCTGGGATTACAGGCGTGAGCCAACGGCGAGTATAATCTTTCAAACCACTTTTCTCATTAACAGTAAGTAGGACTTTCTCTTAATAGGTACAAGCTTCTTACTCTTTTAATATATAGCTAAAACGATTGTTTTTTCCCTATTTTTAAAATAGAGGGATCAATGAAATCAGGTTCAGGAAAAAATTATGAGTTATCCTTAGGGCAAAAATGGGGATCAATTTACAAATGGGGCAGTAACTGGGACTATTATAACCTCTAGGTCTGTTTATCATGTGATCATACAACATATTAATTCATGCCCTCCCATCTGCAAAATGGCAATACTAATTTTTTTTTCCTCCCTGCTTTGCAGAGATGAGGTAAAGGGTGGTTGCCAGCAAAATGCAGACACATCCACAAATTAAAGGTACCAGAAAGTAAAACATAGTAAACACTGTTACCTTATTTATATCCCAGAGAACCAGCTTGCTTTTAAGTTTAGCAAATTCATAGGCAGTCAGTCTCCCAATTCCATGCCCAGCTCCTGTAATCAGCACGATTTCGCCGGTGACTGATTTTCTCCTCTTAGGAATAAAAAGCTTCACGAAGGACTCTAGGGAGCAGACGATCAGTAACGGGAGAAGCAGGAGGATGTCCAGAAGAAATTTCATCCCTTTTGTGGCTGCGAGCGTTTGGTGTGTTTTTTTTTTTTTTTACCACTCTAAACTGCTTTTAGAGGGTAGCTCGATCTAACACCAGAAAGAGTAGGGGCGAGAGCAAGGAGGAACTCCCGTATCAAAGAAAAACAACTCCGAAACCGTTCCTTCCGCTGGGCTGGGCTTTGTTGGTCTTTCGCAATTGGCTCGGGCTGCAGTGCTTGCTAGCTCAGAGATCTGGGAGGGACGAAGTCCAGACCGGAGCAAAGCTTCCTAGTTCTGCTTTGCGCAGCCCCCACGCGGTGTGTGGCCGCGATTGTCTTTTACACCACTTTCTCCCGGTGTCGTGAGCCGGCCTTGGAGGGTTAGTTGCTCACTTGTTTTCCTAAATTGGATAAGTTCCAAGGATAACCGACAGTGTCCACAGGCCAGATGCTTCTTTCATAGTTGAAGGTTGCTTATCACTAGATAGGGGGTGCCGCTGGGCGCGGCGGCTCTCGCCTGTGATCCTGGCACTTTGAGAAGCCCTGGCGGGAGGATCGCTTGACCCCAGGAGTTCGAGATCAGCCTGAACAACATAGGGAGACCCCCGGTCTCTTTTTTTTTTTTTTTAATTAGCCAGGCGTAGTGGCGTGTGCCTGTAGTTCCAGCTACTCGAGAGACTGAGGCACGGGAATTGCTTGAGTCCAGGAGGTGGAGGCTACAGTGAGTGAAGATCGCGCCACTGCACTCCAGCCTGGACGAAAAGGCCAGACTTTGTCCTAAAAAACAAAAACTAGATAGAGGATGCAAATGTAGATTCCTATCTTAAAGGATCCTGAAAAGACCAATCGTTCTGCTTCCAGCTGAGAAATTGCGCTACATCACATTTTAGTTTGAACTAAGCACGATTTCTGGAAGACAGGGGAAATTTTGTCTGTTCAAGGACAGCTTCAATCAAGCGCCAGAAAAAATTGTTATCGTATTAAAGGGATTGTTTCCACAAGAAAGAAGAGTATATTTGAATAATCATTTTTCACTTGACCTATTAGAGTTTGAAAATAAAAAATATATGTTGTACTTTAGGAATTTTATCTTTATTCAAGTGAATAAATAGCAAATCATTTAGCCTAAAGATTACCTATGTAACATTTGGTTTTGTAGCCTATATAAATGGGTATTCAGTATATGCTAACTAGTGACTTGAAAAAATTCTAGAGATTGGTTACTGGAAGAAAAGACCTAACTAGGGCTTGTGTCCAGTAAGAGCTTAATAATGGTATTGCATGCATTTTTTTCCAACTCATTTTTGACAGACATTGGATTTGGGTTTTGCGCAAGACACTCCAGTGCTTGGGAAGGGACTTTGTTGTGTGACAATAGTCAACTTTCATATTTAAGAGCCAGAAAGATCACACAAAAAAATCAAAGTTCACAAATAGTTCAAACTCGATTGTCCCTCTTACTTAAGCAGCCATACGTTGTTATAGGGGATGAAGGGATAGTGGCAGCCTCACAAAAGTGAACCCCATTATAGAATTCTTTGAATTCAGAATATCTACAACTTTTTTTTGGATAGCCTCCAAATCCAAATTTACAAAACACTTGTATAGAAAGTTTACAAAGTGTTCTTCCACATATATTATTTCATTTGATTTTCAAAAGCCTCCTAGGAAATAGAGAAAAGTAGAGTCAGGATATATTTATACCTATACTGTAAATGAATAAATCTGTTAGATCAACTTTAAAATCTACACAGTGAGTAAAAGTGTAACTGGGGCTACACATATGTTCAGTGTTTGTCAATTTTTTGGTCCAACACCTACAGGAATAAATTACATCTGACATGGTGATCTACTATAAGAAGTGTTTCAACTATGTTGAGTTTCATATATTGAGGCTCTAGCTATGCTATTTTTTTTTTTTTTAAAGGAGTCTCCCTCTGTCTCCAGGCTGGAGTGCAGTGGCGAAATCTTGGCTCACAGCAACCTCAACCTCCACCTCCCAGGTTCAAGCGATTCTCCTGCCTCAGCCTCCCAAGTAGCTGGGACTACAGGCACGCACCACCACACCCAGCTAATTTTTGTATTTTTAGTAGACAGGGTTTCCCCATGTTGGCTAGGATGGTCTCAATCTCGATCTCCTGTTCCACCCACCTTGGTCTTCCCAAGTGCTGGGATTACAGGCGTGAGCCATGGCACACGGTCTGGCTATGCTATTTCTTATTCCATTCTATTAATTAAAAAAAACTGGGTAGTTTTAACCTACAGTTGATCAAGGTTTCATTGGTTAAGGGAAAGAACACAGCATTTGGACGCAGTCGTACCTGAATCCCTTATGTGTATGTGACTTCATCTCTCTAAACATGTTTCTAAATTTGTAAAATTGAAATAATACTTACCCTACAGGATTCTTGTGACGTTCAAACGAGTTAATAGAAAGCACATTGCTTTATCAACTATTCAACTTTATGTAAATTATAATTAACACCAATAGAATGTGAGTGATGTGAATGGTCTTGTGAATGATGGTTGTAACATGATTTTGTGAACAGCAAACTAGATGTTTACAATTAAAATCATTCACAGTTAGAACACAGATTAGCTTCTATCTGACCACTATGTGATTTTATGTATTTGTGGTTTTAAAAAACATCTTTCATTGGTAGGGTTTAAAATATTTTGTACTTGGGACATCTGTTTTTTAAAAAATTTTTTATCTATTTATTTTGAGACCGGATTATGAGACTAGCTAATTTTTGTATTTTTGATAGAGGCAGGGTGTCCCTACCCTGGTAGAGGCTGGTCTTGAACTCCTGGGCTCAACCAATTCACCGGCCTTGGCCTCCCAAAGTGCTAGGATTACAAGTGCGAGCCACTGCACCCAGCCTATGTGGGGCATCTTAATTACATGCTGCCTTCCCAGAAGTTGAAATAGTATTTAAAAAAAAAAAAAAAAGATAAGGATAAGGGGGTATTTTTCTTTAATTTTTTTTTTTAAACCCTAACTTGAACCAGAAGAATAGGGGTCTTTCATCAGTGTCTTGAACACTTACTTACTATGGCCAGGCATATGCTTCTTCTGGAGCTTCCTCACCTCTCTCAGCCCTCACCTAACACATTTCATTTTATCTTCTCAATAACCTTAAGCAGTAGGTTCAATAGAAATCTCTATTATATGAATGAAGAAATAAAGAATTAAGAGAAACTAAGCAAACCACTTGAGATCATAGTATAAATGTAGAGTTGAATTTAAACCTAGGCTGTCGTCACCGGCTTTTTTTTTTTTAAACTGGGAGTCCCAGCCAGAGCAATTAGCTGCCTTCTTCCCTAACGCAAAAAAGAAAAGTGAATCCAGTTCTGAACCATTAGATAAATTCGAAAAGATCAAAACTCCTGATTTTGAATCACAACATTAATAACACTTCCCTTTCATACAATTAGGTAAATATCTAATTAGCAGGGAATAGATTGCAGCTGCTAAAAGAATGCGTTCGAATTCCTACCAAGCTTTTAATGAGCCGTGTGATATTTGGTTAATTACTTAACCTCTCCTGAGTTCTCAGTTACCTCATCTGTAAAATGGATGTAATAGCAGCTTGGTTGCCGTGAAGAGTAAATGACATATATACAAAGCACAGAGTCATTCATAAGAGTAAAAAGCACAAGAGTAAATGAGATATATATAAAAGCACATCTTGCATACAAACATACTTAGTGAATGACAGCCATTACTATATGTTAATCAGTTATAGTAAGACGCCTGTATTTGCAAGGCTGTCTCTGTAGTATCCCAGCAGATTAGGAATGAAAGACCACTGTAACACTTAGCAATTACACAGGCCAGTGAAGAATGCTCACTTTCACTATAAAAAATACTGAGGAAAAATATACAGAAATGATTGCCAGACCTACCAACAGAGGTATTTCCCATAGTTTTCTTGTCATCCTGAGATAGAAGACTTCACAATTTGACTCCGAAGTCTGAATTTTAGAGCTGGAGAAATTTAGACATTAGCTTGTGTGCAATGACACTTTTTTTTTTCTATAATGAATCTATGAATTCAAAGTAGTACTGTGTCCGGAATTGGTGGGTTCTTGGTCTCACTGACTTCAAGAATGAAGCAGCGAACCCTCGCGGTGAGTGTTACAGCTCTTAAGGTGGCGCGTCTGGAGTCTGTCCCTTTTGATGTTCAGATGTGTTCGGAGTTTTTTCCTTCTCGTGGGTTCGTGGTCTCGCTGGCTCAGGAGTGAAGCTGCAGACCTTCGCGGTGAGTGTTACAGCTCTTAAGGCAGCGCGTCTGGAGTTTTTTGTTCCTCCCGGTGGGCTCGCGGTCTCGCTGGGTTCAGGAGTGAAGCTGCAGATCTTCGCGGTGAGTGTTACAGCTCATAAAAGCACCGCGGACCCAAAGAGCGAAAGAACAAAGCTTCCACAGTATGGAAGGGGACCCGAGTGGGTTGCCAATGCTGGTTCGGGCAGCCTGCTTTTATTCTCTTATCTGGCCCCACCCACATCCTGCTGATTGGTAGAGCCGAGTGGCCTGTTTTGTCAGGGTGCTGATTGGTGCATTTACAATCCCTGCGCTAGATACAAAGGTTCTCCACGTCCCCATCAGATTAGTTAGATACAGAGTTTGGACACACAGGTTCTCCAAGGCCCCACCAGAGCAGCTAGATACAGAGTGTTGATTGGTGCATTCACAAACCTTGAGCTAAACACAGGGTGCTGATTGGTGTGTTTACAAACCTTGAGCTAGATACAGAGTGCCGATTGGTGTATTTACAATCCCTGAGCTAGACATAAAGACTCTCCACGTCCCCACCAGACTCAGGAGCCCAGCTGGCTTCACCTAGTGGATCCCGCACAGGGGCTGCAGGTGGAGCTGCCTGCCAGTCCTGTGCCGTGCGCTTGCATTCCTCAGCCCTTGGGCGGTCGACGGGACTGGGCGCCGTGGAGCAGGGGTTGGTGCTCCTTGGGGAGGCTCGGGCCGCACAGGAACCCACGGAGTGGGTGGGAGGCTCAGGCATGGAGGGCTGCAGGTCCCGAGCCCTGCCCTGTGGGAAGGCAGCTAAGGCTCGGTGAGAAATCGAGCACAGCGCCGGTGGGCTGGCACTGCTGGGGGACCCAGTACACCCTCCGCAGCTGCTGGCCCGGGTGCTAAGTCTCTCATTGCCTGGGGCCAGCAGGGCTGGCCGACTGCTCCGAGTGTGGGGCCCACCAAGCCCACGCCCACCCGGAACTCCAGCTGGCCTGCAAGCGCCGCACGCAGCCCCTGTTCCCACTCGTGCCTCTCCCTCCACACCTCCCTGCAAGCTGAGGGAGTGGGCTCCAGCCTTGGCCAGCCCAGAAAGGGGCTTCCACAGTGCAGTGGGGGGCTGAAGGGCTCCTCAAATGCCGCCAAAGTGGGAGCCCAGGCAGAGGAGGTGCCGAGAGCAAGCGAGGGCTCTGAGGACTGCCAGCATGCTGTCACCTCTCAGTATTTTCAAAGTTAGAGTCAATCCTCTCAAACTCTACTGCTGTTTTATCAACTAAGTTTATGGAATATTCTAAATGCTTTGTTTTCATTTCAGTATCTTCCCGGCATCTTTACCAGAAGTAGATTCCATCTCAAGAAACCGATTTGCCTTGCACTTGTTTATGGGATGGAGATGGCTTCTTTCCTTAAACCTCAGGAACCAACTTCCACTAGCTTCGAACTTTTCTTCTGGAGCTTCCTCACCTCTCTCAGCCTTCATAGAATTAAAGAGAGTTAGGGTCTTGAACTGGATTAGGCTTTGGTTGAAGGGAATATTGTGGCTGGTTAGATTTATCCAGACCACTAAAACTTTCTTTATATCAACAATAAGGCTGTTTCACTTTCTTATCATTTGTGGGTTCACTGGCATAGAACTTTAAATTGATTTCAATAATGCTTCCTTTGCATTCACAGCTTGGCTAACTGTAGATGCAAGAGGCCTAGCTTTCAGCCTATCTTGCCTTTCAGCATGCCTTAAGTTTAATCACTTCTAGCTTTTGATTTAAAGTGAAACACATTTGACTCTTCACTTGAACACTCAGAGACCACTGTAGTGTTATTAATTGGCCTAACTTGAATATTGCTGGGTTTCAGGAAACAGGAGGCCTGATTATGGGGAGCAGGTAAGAGGGTTGTAGGGAGACGACCTGTTGGTGGAGCAGTCAGAACACATGATGCTTATTGATTCAGTTTGCTGTTTTATATAGATATGTGGTTTTTGGTGTCCCAAAACAATTACAATAGTAACATCAAAGATCACTGATCACAGATCATCTTAACAGATGTAATAATAATGAAAAGATTTGAAATATTGTGAGAATTACCAAAATATGACACAGAGACATGAAGCGAGCTTTTGGGAAAATTGTGTCAATGGACTTGCTCAATGAAGGGTTACCATAAAGCTTCAATTTGTAAAAAGCACAATATCTGTGAAACGCAATAAAATGAAGTGCTGTAAAATGAGGCATGCCTGTAATTTGTCGAATGTTCTATGGTTCATAATGTGGGAATCTAGGTCTCTCTGACTTTGAGGTTATACTCTTGAAATGTCCCTCCCCCACCACCTTTTTTTGGCCTCTAAGATGTCCTTGGATTTGTAAAGACTAGAGAGAAGATCCACCTTAAATGGATATTAGTTGGCTTCTTTCAGCCAAACACTCCTTTTGTCAGTAGACCTTAGAATCTGGAGAAAACAGAAAAAAAAAACCTCAAAAAACAAACATAAAACTAGCCAACCAACCAACAAATAGAAAACCACAGAGATGATCAATAGATAAATATCCAATAAATCATTAGGATAATGGGCAGTTTTCTTTAGGACTCCTCTGCTCCCACCTGAGTCTCTCCGCACTATAAATCACATCAATCCAACATGTAAAATGACCTGGCTGTTGCCCACTTTTTGCTTTATAGTGTCCATAGCTGTGGAAGCTGTCCAAGTATTCAGGAAGAGCCACACAGAGAAGAGGTCTTTTCAATGGATCTTTATTTTGAATCTAAGATATGACAAGAAAGTTCTTGAAATATGGGTTTGGATATAACTTTTGCAAATTACATGTCATATGTTTCAATGATAACTTCCTAGAAAATTAATAACTATGATACCACTTTAAGAAAAAATTAAAACGAGAAAAATGACTTTCTTTTATTTATTACAAGTGGTAATATGCTCGCAGCTCTAATGATGAGATTATCAAATAAATTACACATTATCACATATCACTGCAATCAAGAACCGCAATTTTAGTATTATCCATCTCAACATGTTTAAAAAATGTGTTGGCTGGGCACAGAGGCTCATGCCTGTAATCCCAGCACTTTAGGAGGCCAAGGCAGTCAGATCACCTGAGGTCAGGAGTTCGAGACCAGCCTGGCCAACCTGGTGAAACCCCATCTCTACTAAAAACACAAAATTAGCTGGGAGTGGTGGCGGGTGCCTATAATCCCAGCTACTTGGGAGGCTGAGGCAGGAGAATCACTTGAACCCAGGAGGTAGATGTTGCAGTGAGCTGAGACTGAGACACAGCACTCCAGCCTGGGTGAAAAGAGTGATACTCTGTCTAAAAGAAAAAAAAAAGTGTTACATACCTTTGTGTAAGCAATCTCATTTATTTTATTTCTTATTTTATTATTATTTTTTGAGATGTAGTCTCACTCTGTTGCCCAGGCTGGAGTACAGTGGTGCGATCTTGGCTCACTGCAACCTCCGCCTCCTAGGTTTGAGTGATTCTCTGGCCTCAGCCTCTGGAGTAGCTGGGAGTACAGGTGGGCGCCACCGTGCCCAGCTAATTTTTGTATTTATGGGGTTTTACCATGTTGGCCAGGCTGGTCTCGAATTCCTGACCTCAGGTGATCTGCCCACCTCGGCCCCCCAAAGTGCTGGGATTACAGACATAAGCCACCACGCCCAGCTAGCAATCTGCTTTATAATACTAAATTATTTCATTGAAATTAGCCTAAATAATACTTATAATATACTACTAAATTATGTTTATTAGCATACACCATTGGAGAAAAACTGAGTTTTAATAATATAGATTTAGAATGACTGACTATTTAGCAGATTTAACACATGGCCATTTTGATTAAGCTTTTTAAAAAAATTTCATGCTTTCCTTTACTATTACTTAAAATGAATAAACAAAATTAATTCTAATTAGTTTAAATATGTATTTGGATATTAATGGCAGTGTGGGCCTGTCTGGAGTGGCCACTGCCATGACACTGGCTGCAGCGAGGGAGGCGTGGCTGGGGCTGTGTGCTTCATGGAGCTGGCAGGAGCTGAAACAGGCAGAAGCCCCACCCCCTTTCTGAGTTGGCAGGGCTGGAGCCTTGAGCTCTGGAGTGCAGCTGTGGCTGCCCACCCATGGCTCTGGACCTGGGCATCCCTGTGCTCTTGGGGGCCAGGAGCA
The DNA here is from genome assembly GCF_000001405.40 of Homo sapiens. Lineage (NCBI taxonomy): Eukaryota > Metazoa > Chordata > Mammalia > Primates > Hominidae > Homo > Homo sapiens. Next base: position 87,399,465 of record NC_000004.12, read on the forward strand.
GGTAGGAGCCCCTGTAACTGCAGCTATCCAGCTGCAGCTGGGGACCCGGGCATCTCTGCACTCTCAGGGGCCCAGGAAGCCCCCGCGCTTCAGCAGACTCAGAAGTGCGTGCTCCTGCAGCCTGGACTCTCCCCGCTACAGGCACCTGCTCTGATTTTGGAGCAAAGCTGAGGCCCAGCCCCAGCGCTGTCACAAGCCGGCCAGATGTGCACATGCTCGGGGCAGCACTGACAGGCCAGCCCCCTGCCACCTTGGCTCCCTCCAGACTTTGGGTGCTGATGAGCATGGGAGGGAGGCGGAGTAGGTGCTGAGGGCAGCTTGGTGCTAGCCTGTAGGTACCCCTCAGCATGAACGGCCTGGGCACTGTGGGCATTGTGGACAGCAGGTTAATGGTGGCAGGAGGCAGACAGGCTCCTGGTTGGAAAGGGGCAGTTTGCTGGTGAAACCCTACCTTCAGTCCACGGATGGCCTGAGGCCTGGGGGCCAGGTTGCCAGTTCTGTGGACCAGAGTGAGAACTTATAGTGCTTTATATGGACCCACCCATGGCCATCCATGGACCAATCAGCACACACCTCCTCCCCTCTGAAGCCCATAAAAACCCTGGACTCAGCCAGATTTGGGCAGATGTTGGGACAACCTGTCTGCTGAGAGGAGCTACCCACCATGGGTTTCTTTTCTGCTAAGAGCTGAACAGACGTTGGGATGAACCTGCCTGTTGCCTGTGGAGAGGAGCTACCCACTGTGGGTCTCCTCTGAGCTGTTCTGTCACTCAATAAAGCACCTCTTCACCTTGCTCACCCTCCACTTGTCTACATGCCCCCTTCTTCCTGGACATGGGACAAGAACTCAAGACCTGCCAAATGGCAGAGCTGAAACACATCCCTTGCTCACTATGTTGCAGGTGATGAGAAGGAGGGAAGAGAGATGGAGAGAAGAACTGTGGCCCTTCAGAGAGCCCAGACCTAGCAGCTCCCTGAGCCAGGGCTGTGGCTCCTTTTTTGGGGCTCTGTGGTTCCTGGCATCTCCAAGCTTCTGGGTGCAACCGCATTCCCCAGTGCCAGCTGTGGAAGCTGCTTACAGTACTCCTGGTTCGGCCAAAGCCTCACAGGAAGCTAGTGTCCATGCTGGCACCTGGAGATGCCCACCCCACTGTAACCAGCATGCCTTGTGCACAGTAGCTGGACCCCACACTCACTCACTCACACACCCTTCACCACTCCATGTCTGGCTGGCCCTTAGAAGGCATGATATCCAAGCTGGTAGTGTGAGCTGAGTGTAGCCTACCAAACCCAGTGGGCCTGAGCAAAACTTGGGCAAAGGCACCACTGACCATAGAGGTTTGTGGCTGGAAAGTGACAGTCAAGGATCCTGTGACATTAATATTAATAATAATTAAGAATATTAATCTTTAATATGCTTTTGTTACAAATTATACATTGTGCTGGAGGTCCTGGTTATCTCTCCTTAGGGAGGACTCCGTTTTGCCTATGGTTCATTTTAACCCCCATTTGAGATTCACTTATCCAAGCCTTACTGGGTCTCAGAAGTTTCCTCATTTGTGGTATGAGCAACATTACTGATACAATGCATCTCCTCCCTGGGAAACTGTTTGAAAGAAGCATATACTTTCTGACAAGTTTGTTCAAAATTCATCCCCTTATTTTGTAATCATACCTACTGTGAAGGGTTTTACAGGATCATGCTTTTCCTTTAGTCTTCAGCTTTTTCATACAATTATTTTGTAGTGTAAATTATTAAGGAAAGATATTTAAATATATTTCTCAATAATGGGGCAGTGAATACAATTTGAGTAGTATTTTGGAGGATAATTGAAATTTTATTCCCTAGATTCTTCTTTTTTTTTTTTTTTTTAGACAGTCTTGCTCTATCGCTCAGGCTGAAGTGCAGTGGCATGATCTTAGCTCACTGCAACCTCTGCCTGCTGGGTTCAAGCTATTCTCCTGCCTCCGCCTCCCAAGTAGCTGGGACCACAGGTGCATGCCACCACACCTGGCTAACTTTTGTATTTTTAGTAGAGATGGGGTTTTGCAATTTTGGCCAGGCTAGTCTCCAACTCCTGACCTCACGTGATACACCCTCCTTGGCCTCCCAAAGTGCTGGGATTACAGGTGTGAAGCACCACACCTGGCCTCTAGATTCTTTTTTTTTTTTTGGTTTTTTTTTTGAGGCAGAGTCTTGCTCTGTCGCCCAGGCTGGAGTGCAGTGGCAAGATCTCAGCTCACTGCAAGCTCCGTCTCCCAGGTTCACGCCATTCTCCTGCCTCAGCCTCCCGAGTAGCTGGGACTAAAGTTGCCCACCACCATGCCCGGCTAATTTTTTTGTATTTTTAGTAGAGACGGGGTTTCACCATGTTAGTCAGGATGGTCTCAATCTCCTGACCTCATGAACTGCCTGCCTTGGCCTCCTAAAGTGCTGGGATTACAGCACTTTAATCCCAGGTGTGAGCCACCATTCCTGGCCTAGATTCTTTAAAACATAGTATATTTTCATTGACTGGGAATATTAAGCCTAATTTAGTGCCTGTATTTTAAAGGTGATAAGACTATATCAATTGAATCAAAGAAAAGAGGATCAAATAGGTACAAAAGTTAATAATTTTGAAGTATTCAGCCACAGCAGTGTTGTGGTGATCAGACCCAACACCTGGTCATGGGGTGACAAAGTCCGGTGGAATCAAAGGATTGAGAAAAAGTTTGAAAAGGAAAGTGGGACCAGGGGGCCATCGTGATTGTGGAGGCTGTGAAGGCCCCAACCTCTGGGAGCCCAAGCTATTTATTGGTAATCCAACAAAGAAACAGGTCGTGAGAATGTGGGGGTCAAAAGGGTAGGCATATGATCTACAGCTGTGATGGTTTAGCATTGATATGGTACATCTTCTGCTACTTGAGATAATGGAAATACAATTGATCTAGGAGCCAAGGAGGGCTAGAAGCAAGGAGCCAGCAAGTCTAGACACATTCCAGAGGACATTATGTCAGACATGCAAGCCCTGCCTCAGCTTTTTTCCCAACAGGCAGCTTTTTCCTAACATGCCCCCCTTCTCTTTTTTGTAAAAGAGAAGGTATCATTATTACTATCATTATTACTAGCATAAAACATGGCCTCTTTTAATTGAGCAAGGCAATTGCAGGCTGTGCAGTGCTTAATTGCCAGTTGGTGATCCAGCTTCATTTTTCTTAGCCCCTATTCAAACTGGAGTATCTGTGGTTTGAATGCGTCCCACATGTCTCCCCTTTCCCTTTTACAAGAGGACCCTTAATCCTAGGGGTTGCAGAAGGATGAAGGTCCGTCTTCTGTAACTTCTTCATGCTGAATAGGGGCAATGATATTCCTGCCTAACTATTAGGGTCTCTTGTATTCAGGGCAGAGAGAAGCTGAGTCAGAAAGCATTGGTTCATTAAGCATCGTGACTCTGGTCAGTCTTCGTTCCATCTTCGCATTCAGATTCAACTGGCTCATGGCTCATACTGGGGGAACCTGGTCCATGGTTGTGGTCCATGGTTGTGGTCCATGGGTCCCTCCAGTCTCCTGTTCCATGGTCATACACATCTTGAGGGCATCCACACGGTTCATTCATCTCCTGCAAAAACACAAGCATACCCTCACCCCCACATTAGTAAATATACTGAAACAGAAGCAAAAACTTTTGTGGATGTAGCCAGGAGGCCACTGATCATGAGAAATAGGCCCCTTCTAACAGAAGGCACAGGGACAGCAAATTGAGGCTTTTCAGACTTTCAATTCACACTGTACAGGTGGGTCCACTAGATGCTGTGGTCCATGATAGATCTTCAGATGTTTGGCAGGCACCCACACAGGCACCTGATTGTCACCTGGCGAGACACAAGCAAATACTCTTCCCCATGTAATTATCTTTCCTTTTCCCCAGTTCTTTGTATGTGCATCCCTCCACCATGTATCTTGTCCAGCCTTTTTATTTTCCTTCTGTCCTGTCAGGTGTTGTTCTGCTGCTATGAGTTGATCTTTTTGTAAATTTAAAAAATTTAATTTTAATAAAGCTAGATGCAATTGCATATGCAATGTTTTATATTCCTGGTCTCCTGCCTTCTGCTTTTGTATTTGAGTTTTTAAAGTACAATTAGCTCTTTCCACTATTGCCTGTCCTTGTGAGTTATATGGAATACCCATAGTATGGGCAATATTCCATTGTTGAAAGAATGTAGCCATGGCTTTACTACAGTATCCTGGGCTGTTATCAGTTTTGATTTTTTCTGGGATTCCCATAACAGAAAAGCAAGATAAAAGATGTCTTTTAACATAAGTTGTAGCCTCCCCTGTTTGACATGTGGCCCAGATAAAATGTGAATAGGTATCTACTGAAACATGAACAAAGGACAATTTTCCAAAAGCAGGAATATGTGTTACATCCATCTGCCAGATGGAGTTTGGAGATAAACCTCTAGGGTTGACTCCTGCTCCTTGATGTGGCGAATGCAGGACTTGGCAGGCAGAAGAGTGTTGCACAATTTCTTTAGCTTGTTTCCATGATACACCATATCTTTTCCTAAGGCCTGCAGCATTAAGATGGGTTAAAGAATGAAATGTCTGTGCATCAGCAAAAGCTGCAGACCCCAATGCATCCACCCTTTGATTAAGTTTAGTTAAAGGGCCAGGGAGGTTAGTATGTACTCTCATATGAGTGATATAGAAAGGTGAATGCCTTTGTTGTAGTGCTTGCTGTAAAGAATGAAATAAAGGATTAAGTTGTTCATCAGTCACATTTTGAATTAAGGCACGTTCAATATTTTGTGTGGCTTGCACTACATAGGCTGAATCAGAAACAATGTTTACTGGCTGTTTAAAAGTTTTTAACACTGTTATCACAGCCATAAGTTCAGCCCTTTGATCAGAAGCAAAGTCAGTTTGCAAAACTTGTTTTTGAGCTCCTGCAAATGAGGCTTTTCCATTACTAGATCCATCAGTAAAAACAGTAAGGGCCCCTTTAGTAGGGGCTTTTTGAGTAATAGAAGGCAATATCCGGGATATTAATTTTAGAAACTGAAATATCTTAGATTTTGGATAATGATTATCAAGAATGCCAACAAAACCTGCCAAATTAACTTGCCATTCTTGGGAATTAACATAGGCTTGTTGAATTTGTTGTTTAGTTAACAGAACTATAATCTGATTTGATCATATCACATTAGCTTTGTTGTGCGCAGCCTTGCTTGTCCTACTAGCACAGCAATTTGATCCAACAAGTACAGAGTGAACATTTTGGTTGTATTGTGAGGCAGAAAAAGCCACTCAACCAGATCATCCTGTTGAACTATAACTCCTGTAGGTGAATGCTTCATAGGAAAAACTAAAAACTGTAATGGTTGCATTGGATTAATCCGTTCTACTTGTGCTTGCTGAATTTTTTCCTCAATTAATTGAAGTTCCTCCAATGCCTGTTTGGACAAGGAGCATTTCCTGTTAAGGTCAGAATCACCTCGTGAAGTAGAAAAGAGGTGAGACATAGCATAGGTAGGAATGCCTAAAGTTGGACAAATACAATTAATGTCTCCTAATAATTTTTGGAAATCATTTAAGGTTTCTAAATTATCTCTTTGAATTTGAACCTTTTGAGGCTTAATAGGACTTTGTTCTACCTTCATTCCTAGATATTGAAAGGGAGTAGAAGTTTGGATTTTACTGGGGGCTATAATCAACACTGAAGCATTTACAGCCTTTTCTAACTGTTTGTAGCACAACATCAATTCTTCCCTAGTTTCAGCGGCCCACAAAATATCATCCATGTAATGGATGATACAACATTTTTTAAACCATTCTCTAACTGGCTTAATAGCTTTCCCGACATAAGTTTGGCAGATAGTCAGGCTATTTAGCATGCCTTGTGGTAGTACTTTCCAATGGTATCTGTCTGCTGGTTCTTTTATTATTTATGGCGGAAATAGTAAAAGCAAATTTTTCATAATCTTGGGCAGCTAAAGGAATGGTAAAAGAAGCAATCCTTTAGATCTATCACTATGAGAGGCCAGTATTTTGCAATCATTGTTATGGAGGGTAACCCTAGTTGTAGTGCACCCATGGGTTGAATTACAGCATTAACAGCCCTTAAATCTGTTAACATTCTGCATTTCCCTGATTTTTTCTTAATGACAAATACAGGAGAATTCCAAGAGCAGAAAGTAGGTTCTATATGAACCTTTTGCAATTGTTCCTGTACCAGCTCTTTTAAAGCCTCCAGTTTTTCCTGTTTCAGCAGCCATTGGTCCACCCAAACCAGTTTGGCAGTTAGCCAAACGAGAGGAATGGGAGCCAGAGGCTCAACAATGGCCGCTTCTAAAAATGACACCCCAATCTGGTCCGATCCGTTTGTCCTTTTAATTCTAAAGGTTCTGATTGACTATTTTTATCTTTTCCTAGTCATTTTCCTGGGCAATATACCATATTTATCATCATTTGTCTACTGTTACTGCTATATTGATCCATAGGAATAGATATTTCAGCATCCCATTATTGCAATAAGTCTCTACCCCATAAGTTGAGAGGAATAGGTGTAATGATAGGCTGAATTGTCCCTTCCAGACCATTTGGCCCTTGATGTGGCAAAATAAAGGAACTTTGAAAAACTTCCGAGGAAGCTCCTACTCCAAAAATACCAATGAATGCCTTTTGCTTAGGCCAGTCCCAGGGCCACTGATTTATAGCAATAATAGAGACATCAGCTCCAGTATCTACTAGTCCTTCAAAATCTTTTCCCTGAATAGTTACTG